>NC_000023.11:82765572-83068602 GCF_000001405.40 Homo sapiens
AAAACAGTAAAACCGTGAGAGTGGGCCCAGATCCTTAAACTGACTTCTCCTTTTCCCTATATCTTTACTGAAAACAGTTATTTAATTCAAAAACCTCTTGCATAGCATCTTTTAACTCTTTCTCAGGCTTATCTTGGTTGCTTCTCAGTAAGATACTACAGCGTGCTAGTCATTGTACCCACAAATATTAAAGATGATTTTAAAGTAAAATAAATGAAATGAAATAAAAAGAAGGAGGTAGCCTGGCTTTAGGAAGGAAAGTTTTTGAAACTCCTGTTTCATAAAATACTTTCACATCCCCTTAGAGTTCCACTGAGCTTGGATCCTTCATTTGCTTTGATATGTAAATGGAGATATTACTTTCTCCCAGGGTACCCTGGAGATCTGCCAAAACACATAAGGGTAGATGTCCTTCAGGATAGAAGCTGAGCTGCCTATAACAGCAGTCAAAGCCAAGTTTATATTTGGGCTTCACAATAAAATATCTTTTTAAATAGTTTTTACTTCCAATGTAAATGTTTATATATTTACGTAGCTAGTCATCTTGGTTAGCCAACAGTTAGAAAACAACAGTTTTGCTGTTCCTTTTTAGTGTCATGTTTTACTTAACTTACAGCCTGCATTTGAAAATACTGTTTATGCTTCCTATGACATATTCCATAAAAATTGCTATTCCTTAAATATACATTTTAGCTGGAAGCAAGGACATATTTCAATGAAGAAAACAACTGCCAGAATGGTAAATTTGCTAATCTATAGGAATAAAGGATAATTTTTACCTCAGAGGTCATATATATCACAATTGAAAGGAAAAGGGAGACTGAAAATTTAGGTGGAAACTTTGTCCTTTAATCAGATTTGTTTTTTATCTTCTGACTTCCTTTGTGGTTCTTTTTGCCTGTATAATGTAAAACCCATAAGGTAAAAGTAAATAATTCCAACTATTTTATTTTATTTTATTTTTCAGACAGGGTCTCACTCCGTCACCCAGGCTGGAGTACAGTGGCACAATCTCGGTTCTCTGCAACCTCCATCGCCCAGGCTCAAGTGATCCCCCCACCTCAACCTCCCAAGTAGCTGGGATTACAAGCCTGCACCTCTATGCCCAGCTAATTTTTGTGTTTTTAGTAGAGACAAGGTTTTGCCATGTTGGCCAGGCTGGTCTCGAACTCCTGACCTCAGGTGATCCAAAAGCCTTGGCCTCCCCAAGTGCTGGGATTACAGGCTTGAGCCACCACACCTGGCCAATTATTTTATTAAGGTAATGGATATCTCCTTTGAATTGATAGCTTTTGCCTCACTCTTGACTTTGGAATATTTAGAGATTCTTATTTTATGTTGTAAACTATAGTGTTATTGCTAACCTTTCATATGAAAGTTGCTGAGTAATGCTAAAAACTCTTGCCAATTCTATAATTAAGTCATAGTTATCCACTTTAACAGCCTAAAATTCAATTCTTATAGATTATCGGGGGAACCCACCCCCAATATTTCAAAATAGGTTCTATTTTCCATAAGTGTCGGCCAGCTGAGAAATAAAGAGAAAGAGTACAAAGAGAGGAATTTTACAGCTGGGCCTCCGGGGGTGACATCATATATCGGTAGGACTGTGATACCCGCCTGAGTCTCAGACCAGCAAGTTTTTATTAAGGGTTTCAAAAAAGGGGAGGGGGTGTAAAACAGGGAGTAGGTAAAAAGATCACATGCTTCAAAGGGCAAAAAGCAGAACAAAGGTCTCATGCTTCTGAAGGAACAGGACAAAAGGCAAAACAAAACTACTGATAAGGGACTATGTTCAGCTGTGCACGTATTGTCTTGATAAACATCCTAAACAACAGAAAACAGGGTTTGAGAGCAGAGAGCCGGTCTGACCACAAATTTAACAGGGCAGAGTTTTTCCCCACCCTAATAAGCCTGAGGGTACTGCAGGAGACCAGGGCATATTTCAGTCCTTATCTCAACCGCATAAGACAGACACTCCCAGAGCAGCTGTTTATAGACCTCCCCACAGGAATGCATTCCTTTCCCAGGGTATTAATATTAATATTCCCTGCTAGGAAAAGAATTTAGTGATATCTCTCCTACTTGCACGTCTGTTTATAGGCTGTCTGCAAGAAGAAAAATATGGCTCTTTTTGCCCAACCCCACAGGCAGTCAGACCTTATGGTTGTCTTCCCTTGTTCCCTAAAAATCGCTGTTATTCTGTTCTTTTTTGAGGTGCACTGATTTCATGTTGTTCAAACACACATGTTTTACCATCAATTTGTACAGTTAACACAATTATCACAGTGGTCCTGAGGTGACATACATACTCAGCTTATGAAGATAACAGGATTAAGAGACTAAAGTAAAGACAGGCATAAGAAATTATAAAAGTATTATTTGGGAACTGATAAATGTCCATGAAACCTTCACAATTTATGTTTAGAGATTAAAGTAAAGACAGGCATAAGAAATTATAAAAGTATTATTTGGGTACTGATAAATGCCCGTATTAAAATGAAACTTTCACAATTTATGTTCCTCTGCCACAGCTTCAGCCAGTCCCTCCATTTGGGGTCCCTGACTTCTTGCAACAATAGACTAATTTATAAAGAAGTTTATTGTAAGTGGCACCAAAGATCACACAATAATAAGACTCTTAAAATATAATTCATTTTAGATAAATATAAATTCAACAAACTTTTAGTAATAATAATAATGATTTTATTTGGCAATACAATAGTAGAACTGGATGCATAGTTTGATGAAATGAAAAATAAAGTTATCTATTAATGTATTCTTCCTCCCTTCTAGTTCTTTCCCTGTTTCCTTTTTTCTTTTTTCATTCTCTCTTTCTCTCCCTCCCTTCCTTTTTCCTTCCCTTCTTCCTTCCTTCTCTTTTTCACTTCCTTTAATCTCCCCCACCCTCTTTTTAATCTATATTTCTGTTAATTCTGTATGTCTATGTTTTTCCTTCCTTTATAGTCTCACTTTCTTTCTCTCTCAATTTTGCAATTTTTAATCTTCCTTTGTCTTCCTGTTACTTAATTTGCAAAACCTTTTTTGATTTACACAATTACTTTGCTCAAACTATAACATATGTCCAGACTTTTCCAGACTCTAAATATATAAATTCATGAAGCAATAAAGATACAAATAGCAACAGCATCTGTCTTCTCAATCTTAAAATTGAGATTTTAAGATCAAGAATGATTCTCTTTGACATATAGGGAAAGCTTCTGTATTGAAGAAAGTGATGAATTTTAGAGATGAACATGACAACTGTGCAACTACTGTTTAATCAATCCTGGCCAAAGTAAATTTTGCTTCCAACATATTAAAGAAACAAATATCTCCAGTCAGGCACAGTCATATTATTAAATTCTAAAATAAATGATGCAAAGATTATTTTGTCTCAATTTTTAACACAAAACCTGTGTGTGAGTGTGTGTGTGTGTATAAACTGAAAACTATATAAAATATAAGTTTTCTAAATTTCCCTCTCAAATAATTTATATATAATACATTGATAATTCAAAATTATAGTATAAAATCTATTTGTTTTTAAATATATTAATATTTTTGGGGAAACTAACAATTTAATCTCTTCTCTTGCAAATATGTAGCCAGATGAATCTAGCTCTGGACAGTTATAAGCAAAGAAAAACTAACGGAAAAATACAGAGGCCTGAAGAATCACAGAGGGAAACTCATTTGGTTAGTAATATTATTTTTACTTCATTTTCCATCCTTCAATTACAGAGGTCAAGATTCAGTTTCACTAAAAAATTACTTTTTATAATATTTTCTTTTATTTTTATTGTCATAGGTTTTTGGGGAACAAGTGGGGTTTGGTTACATGAGTGGGTTCTTTAGTGGTGATTTGTGAGATTTTGGTGCACCCATCACCCGAGCAGTATTCACTGTACCCAATTTGTAGTCTTTTATTCCTTACCACCACCCCTGCTATTGCCCCTAAGTCTCCAGAGTCTATTGTATCATTCTAATGCCTTTCCATCCTAATAGCTTAGCTCCCACTTATGAGTGAGAACATACAATGATTGGTTTTCCATTCCTGAGTTTCATCACTTAGAATGGGTCTCCTATCCCATCCAGGTTTCCGTGAATGCCACTATTTTTTTCCTTTTTATGGCTAAATAATATTCTATTGTATATATATATATATATATATATATATATATATATGTCACAATTTCTTTATCCACTTATGGATTGATGGGCATATGAGCTGGTTCCATATTTTTGCAATTGCAAATTGTGCTGCTATGAACATGCATGTGCAAGTATCTTTTTTGTATAATTACTTCTTTTCCTCTGGGTAGATACCCAGTAATGGAATTGCTGGATCAAATGGTAGCTCTACTTTTAGTTCTTTAAGGACTCTCCACACTGTTTTCCATGGCAGTTGTATTAGTTTACATTCCCACCAGCAGTCTAAAAATGTTTCCTTTTCACTGCTTCTCTGCCAACATCTATTATTATTTTTTTATTTTTTGATGATGGCTATTCTTTCAGAGTAAAGTGGTATCACATTGTGGTTTTGATTTGCATTTCCCTGATCATTAGTGATGTTGAGCATTTTTTCATATGTTTGTTGGCGTATATCTTCCTTTGAGACTTGACTATTCACGTCCTTAGTCCATTTTTTTGATGGGATTGTTTATGTTTTTCTTGCTAATTTATTTGAGTTCCTTGTAGATTCTGGATATAACTCTTTTGTCAGATGTATAGATTGTGATGATTTTCTCCCACTCTGTGGGTTGTCTGTTTACTCTGTTGACTGTTTCTTTTGCTGTGAAGAAAATTTAGTTTAATTAAGTTCCAGCTATTTATTTATTTTATTTATTTTATTTTTTGCATTTGCTTTTGGGATTTTGGTCATGAAGTCTTTGCCTAAACCAATGTCTAGAAGGGTATTTCGGATGTTATCTTCTAAAATTTTTGTGGTTTCAGGTCTTAGATTTAAGTCCTTGAGGTATCTTGAGATGATTTTTGAATAAGGTGAGTGATGAGGATCCAGTTTCATTCTTCTGCATGTGGCTTGCCAATTATCCCAGCACAATGTGTTGAATACAGTGTCCTTTCTCCACTTTATGTTTTTGTTTGCTGTGTCAAAGACCAGTTGCCTGTAAGTATTTGGCTTTATTTCTAAGTTCTCTGTTACATTAGTCTATGTGCCTATTTTTATACCAGTACCATGCTGTTTTGGTGACTATGGCCTTATAGTATAGTTTCACATCAGGTAATGTGATGTCTCCAGATTTGTTCTTTTTGCTTAGTCTTGCTTTGGCTATGTGGGCTCTTTTTTGGTTCCAGATGAATTTTATAATTGTTTTTTCTAGTTCTGTCAAGAATGATGATGGTATTTTGATAGGAATTGCATTGAATTTGTAGATTGCTTTTGGCAGTGTTGTCATTTTCACAATATTCATACTACCCATCCATGAACATGAGACATGTTTCCATTTGTTTGTGTCATCTATGATGTTTTTCAGCAGGGTTTTGGAATTTTTCTTGTAGAGTTATTTCACCTCCTTGGTTAGGTGCACTCCTAAGTATTTTATTTCATTTTTTTGCAGCTATTGTAAAGGTGGTTGAATTCTTGATTTGATTCTCAGCTTGGTTGCTGCTAGTGTATAGCAGAACGAATGATGTGTATACATAAATTTTGTATCCTGTAACTTCGTTGAATTCATTTATCAGTTCTAGGAGCTTTTTAGATGAGTCTTTAGGGTTTTCTAGGAACACAGTCAGATCATCAGCAAACAGCAAGTGTTTGACTTCCTCTTTACCAATTTGGATGTCTTTTCTTTCTTTCTCTTATCTGGTTGTTTTGACTAGGACTTCCAGTTCTATGTAGAATAGAAATGGTGAGAGTCGGCATCCCTGTCTTGTTCCAGTTCTCAGAGGGAAAGTTTTCTGCTTTTCCCCGTTCAGTATTATGTTAGCTGTGCGTTTGTCATACATGACATTTATTACATTAAAGTATGTACCTTCTATGCCGATTTTGCTGAGGTTTTTCATCATAAGGGGATGCTGGATTTGTCAAATTGTCAATGCTTTTTCTGCATCTATTGAGATGATCCTTATCATCTCATAATTATTAAAGATATTATTAAAGATTATTGTCTTTAATTCTGTGTATATGGTGTATCACGTTTTTTGACTTGTGTATGTTAAACCGCTCCTGCTTTCCTGGTATGATACCCATTTGATCATGGTGGATTATCTTTTTGATATGCTGTTGGATTCTGTTAGCTAATATTTTGTTAAGGATTTTTGCATCTATATTCATCAGGAATATTGGTCTGTAGTTTTTTCATTGTTGTTGTTATGTCCTTTCCGGTTTTGGTATTTGTGATGCTGGTTTCATAGAATGATTACACTTGTGGAACAGTGTAAATAGATTTGTACCAATCCTTCTTTGAATATCTGATAGAATTCAGCTATGAATCTGTCTGGCCCTGGACTTTTTGTTGTTGTTGTTGGCAATTTTTTGTTATCACTTCAATCTTACTGCTTGTTATTGGTCTGTTCGAGGTATCTAATTTTTCCTGGTTTAAGCTAGGAGAGTTGTGTATTTCCAGGAATTTATTCATCTTCTCAAGGTTTTCTAGTTTATGTGCATTAAGGTGTTGATAGTAGCCTTGAATGATCTTTTGTATTTTTGTTTTCTTGGTTGCAATATCTCCTGTTTCATTTCTAATTGAACTTATTTGGATCTTCTCTCTTCCTGGTTATTGTTGCTCATGGTCTATCAATTTTATTTATCTTTTCAAAGAACCAGCTTTTTGTTTCATTTATCTTTTGTCTTGTTTTTTTTTTGTTGTTGTTGTTTGTTTCTTTCAGTTTTATTTAGTTCTGCTCTGATCTTGATTATTTCTTTTCTTCTGCTGGGTTTGGGTTTGGTTTGTTCTTGTTACTCAAGTTCCTTGAGGTGTGACCTTAGATTGTCTATTTGTGCTCTTTCAGATCTTTTGATGTAGGCATTTAAGGCTGTGAACTTACCCCTTGGCCCTGCCTTTGCTGTATCTCAGAGGTTTTGATAAGTTGTGTCATTATTATCATTCAGTTCAAATAATTTTTAAATTTCCATCTTGATTTCATTGTTGACCCCATGATCATTCCACAGCAGATTATTTAATTTCCATGTATCCACATGGTTTTGAAGGTTCCTTTTGGGGTTGATTTCCAATTTTAGTTCACTGTAGTAGGAGAGAGTACTTGATATAATTTGAATTTTCTTAAATTTATTGAGATTTGTTTTTGGCCTATCATATGGCCCATCTTGGAGAATGCTCCATGCACTGATGAATAAAATGTATATTCTGTGTTTGTTTGGTAGAATATTCTGTAAATATCTGTTAAGTCCATTTGTTCTAGGGTAAAATTTAAATCCATTTTTTCTTGGTTGACTTTCTGTCTTAATGACCTGTCTAGTGCTGTCATTGGAGTATTGAAATCCCCCACTATAATTGTATTGCTGTCTATCTCATGTCTTAGGTCTAGTAGTAATTGTTTTATAAATTTGGGAGCTCCAGTGTTAGGTGCATATATATTTAGGATTGTGATACTTTCCTGTTGGACAGCAGCTTTTATCATTATATAATGGCCCTTTTTGTCTTGTTTAACTGCTGTTGCTTTAAACTTTGTTTTGTCTGATATAAGAATAGCTACTCCTGCTCACTTTTGGTGTTTGTTTGCATGGAATGTCTTTTTTTGCCCTTTTATCTTCAGTTTATTTGTGTCCTTATGTGTTAGATGAGTCTCTTGAAGGCAGCAGATACTTGGTTGGTGAATTCTTATCCATTCTGCCATTACATATCTTTTAAGTGGAGCATTAGACAGTTTACATTCAACATTAGTATTGAGATGTGAGGTACTATTCTATTCATCATGCTATTTGTTGCCTGAATACCTTGGTTTTTGATATTATTTGTTGTGTTGTTTTATAGGTCCTGTGAGATTTATGCTTTTAAGAGGTTCTTTTTTGATGTATTTTTGGATGTACTTTGAGGATTTGTTTCAAGACTTAGTGCTCCTTTTAGCAGTTCTTATAGTGCTGGCTTGAAAGTGGCATACTCTCTCAGCATTTGTTTGTCTCAAAATGACTGTATCTTTCTTTCATTTATGAAGCTTACTTTCCCTGGATACAAAATTCTTGGGTGATAATTGTTTTGTTTAAAGAGGCTGAGGATAGAGCCCCAATTCTTTCTTGCTTGTAGGGTTTCTGCTGAGAAATCTGCTATTAATCTGCTTATCTCATGCTTTTGCCTCGCAGCTGTTAATATTATTTCCTTTGTCTTGACTTTAGATAACCTGATGACTATGTGCCTAGGTGATTATCTTTTTTTGTAATGAATTTTCCAGGTGTTCTTTGAGCTTCTTGCATTTGGATGTCTGAGTCTCCAGCAAGGCCGGGACAGTATTCTTCAATTATTTCCCAAAATGTGTTTTCCAAACTTGTAGATTTCTCTTCTTCCTCAGGAATGCCAATTATTCTTAGGTTTGGTCATTTAACATAATCTCTAACTTCTTGGTGGCTTTGTTCAGTTTAAATTTTTTTTTTTGTCTTTGTTGGATTATTTCAAAAACCTTGTCTTCAAGCACTGAAGTTATGTCTTCTTCTTGTTCAATTCTACTGCAGAGACTTTCCAGTGCCTTTTGCATTTCTATAGCTGTGTCCTTGGTTTCCAGAAGCTGTGATGGTTTTCTATTTATGTTATCTATTTTACTGAAAATTTCTCCCCTCATATCTTGTATCATTTTTTTAATTTCATTAAATTAGACTTTACTTTTCTCTGGTGCCTCCTTTATTAACTTAATAATGGACCTTCTGAATTCCTTTTCTGACATATCAGTAATTTCTTCTTGGTTTGGATCCATTGCTGGTGAGGTAGTATGATTTTTTGAAGGTGTTAAAGAACGTTGTTTTGTCATATTACCATAATTGTTCTTTTGGTTTTTTATGTTTTGGGTAGGCTATGTCAGAGGGAAGATCTGGGGCTCAATGGCTGTTGTTCAGAATATTTTGTCCCACAGGGTGCTCCCTTGATGTAGTACTCTCCCCTTTTTCCTAGGGATGTGGCTTTCTGAGACCCAAACTGCAGTGATTGTTATTTCTCTTTTGGATATAGCCACCCAGTGGGGCTACTGGGTTTTGGGCTAGTACTGGGGGGGTTGTCTGCATGGAGTCCTGTGATGTAAACCGTCTTCTAGTCTCTCAGCCATGGATAGCTGCACCTGCTTCAGTGGAGATGGCAGGGCAGTGAAATGGACTCTGTGAGGGTCCTTAGTTTTGTTGTTGTTGTTTATTGAACTAGTTTTATGCTGGTTGGCCTCCTGCTAGGAGGTGGTGTTTTTAAGAAAGCATCAGCTGTGGGTAGTACAGGGAGGATCAGGGAGTGGGCAGGGCCCTAGAACTCCCAAGATAATATGACTTTTTTTTTTTTTTTTTTTTGAGACAGAGTCTCACTCTGTCACCCAGGCTGGAGTGCAGTTGCGTGATTTCGGTTCACTGCCAGCTGTGCCTCCTGGGTTCACACCATTCTCCTGCCTCAGCCTCCTAAGTAGCTGGGACTATAGGTGCCCACCACCACACCCAGTTAATTTTTTGTGTTTTTAGTAGAGATGGGCTTTCACCATGTTAGCCAGGATGGTCTCGATCTCCTGACCTCGTAATCTGTCTGCCTCAACCTCCCAAAGTACTGGGATTACAGGCATGAGCTACCACACCTGGCTGAGAATATGACATTTGTCTTCAGCTACCAGGATGGGTAGAGAAAGACCATCATGTGGGGGTAGGATCAGACATGTCTGAGATCAGATTCTCCTTGGGCAGGGCTTGCTGCAGCTGCTGTGCGGGATGGTGGTGTGGTTCCCAGGTTAATGGAGTTATGTTCCCAGGAGGATTATGGCTGCCTCTGCTGTGTCATGCAGGTCACAAGGGAAGTAATAAAAATCTGGCAGTTACAAGCCTCAGCCAGCTCCCATGCAACCCAAAAGGCCGGTCTGACTCCCACCATGCCCCTGACCACCAACAGCCCTGAGTTTATTTCCAGGCAGTGGGCAAGCAGGGCTGAGAACTTGCCCCAGGCTACCAGCCTCCTGGCTGAGAAAGCAAGCAGGGGTTTCAGGTTTCATGCCTCCCTGCCTGCCTGCATCTGTACTCTGGATTCAACCCCTCCCATGAATTTTGTTCAAGAACCTTTGTGTTTGGTTGGAATTGTTACGATGTTCATCTGGATGTTTCTTTCCCTTGTGGTGTTTTCCCAGTTCCTCTGGCAGCTCTCCCCAAGGACACCTGTGAGACAAAGTCAGAAGTGGCTTCCCTGGTGACCCAGAGAGACCACAGGGCTCTTGCCGCTGCTTCCTCTACTCCCGTATTTTGCCGAGCTCTCTAAATTGTCTCAGCTCTAGGTAAGATCAAATCCTTCTCCCATAATTTGGACCTTTAGGTTCCCCAGTGAGGGTATGTGTTTGGGGGCAGATGATCCCCGTTTTCTACTTTCACACTTTGGGCACTCACAGTATTTGAGCTGTCTCCTTGGTCCTGCAGAAGGTAAATTGCAAGTTGTTAAAGACCATACAGGCACTAGGAGATTAGAACAGCTCTCCTTGGGTGCAGTTGGCATAAAGAAGCATCCGGAAATTTGGGCTAAGTTGCTATTTTCTCAGGCACAACATTCTCAGTGGATTATTTTCATTTATTATTTTTAAAATAAATTCATATTTTTGGGAGTTTGTCAAATGCCGTATTGCTTTGAAAAAATCAATAATCTAACAGTGCTAAGAGATATTTATTTTATCTCCATTAATCTATGTTAAAGTGATACATGTTTAAGAAAACAATAATAAAATGATCATATCTTGCGATTACTTATTTTAACCAACTAAGTTTCTAAGTAGAAATGTTGCAAACATTTTTGATATCAGCAAAATAAACAAATGAAGTATATAAAATAAAAATTCAAGAAAATGAATGGGGAAAATATTCTTACCTGTCAGGCACTATTGTTATATTTTAAGTATAAAAAATTTTGTAACCTGGTCCCAGTCCCTGAACTCTGTGATAATTCACTGTGGTAAAAAAACAGCAGCAAAACAAGGAAAGCATTTATAAGACAGAAGCAGCTAATGCGGTATTAAAAATGAATAGTCATAAAGACCTGAAAACAGAAAACTGTTCACATAAGTGATTGAGTCACCTAAAGTGAGATGTGTTTGAGGCAATTCCTCTGGGGCACTCTAAATTCCTTCAAATATATGTAACATTTAAATATTCCATTAACTCTCTAAATAGCTGGTTCCTATTTCCCAAGACTTAATAAAGCTTTTTGTGATGACTTTCAAATTTTGCACACTGGATTCATCTTGTATTGAAGTTGGGCTCCAACACATTGAATTCCATCACACTTATCATAATTGCTTCTTTTAATAAATTTCTAGGAGCTCCTTTTTTAATTCTCTTCATAGACTAAAGAGTATGCGTCACTCTGTAAGTAGAGGCACCCACATACTATTCATTGATTCAACAAATTAATTCAACAAATATGTATTGAGTGCCAACTGTGCTAGGCTTTGAAGCAACATTTAGGTCCTTATTCAAGGTATTATACAAGGGTTCCCAGATCTTAGGAAATGAGCAGAATTTACTATCCCATTATTTTGCTATGATTTCATTATGAGTTGTGTGACATTGAGTAATTCTTGATACTAAGCTTTATTATCAATATAACAACTTGGAGGAGTTGAATAAGAGTAGTGTTTTTGAATAATGGACAGCCATCTAATCAAGGGTCATATAGTCACTTTAAGGAGAGATGATCAGTGTTTTTAAATAGAATAGAGTCAAAAATGGCACAGCATGTTTAAGAATATATGTAAGTTTGGGAAACTTTTATTTTTTTAAGCTATGTATACATGTGTATATTGTATGGTGGCTCTGCATGTGTACATTTTGTAGTGAGTCATGGTTTAAAATATATGTCTTTACTATATCTCATATTCAAAAACATTCAAAGACTTTGGACTGGAAGACTGGGAGAATCTAGAATTTGTAAATATTCTGTGATTTTTCTATTTGATATTCCATCCTAAAGGACCTTCTAGAACCATAGTACTTTTTATCTGGATTATGTCATTTTACACACTGTAAACAATCATGAAACCATAATGATGAGTAAAGAATTAATCTTTACCTCATTATACTTTATTGATAACCTTTTTTCTTAATATGAAAGAAAATATTAAAGAAATGAGACAGTTTGGCTAGAAAAATGGAGAAAATAGAATTAAAAAGATTCTGAACAAGATGTTTTGCCTAAAAACACTGGAATCAGCTGAAGTACTACAGGACATAGTAACCAGGGCTGGAGGAATAGAATGTACACCAGGCTTTGCAACCTGGATTCTAATGCTAGTTTTCCAATATAATTTAATATTAATTAGCTTATTTTACTCCTATCCTCTTTATTTATTTATTACAATTATTTTTGTGATAATAATATTTACATAATATCTACTCTCTTAGCAAATGCTTAAGTATACAATGCTGTGTTGTTAACTATAAGCATTCTGTTGTACCTGAGATCTCTAAAATTTCTTCATCTTGCATAACTCTTTGTAACTTTTGGTTAATATTTCCTTGTTTCCCCCTCTCCCCCAGTTCCTGGCAATCACTATTCTGCTCTCCGCTTCTGTGAATTTTACTATTTTACTTTCCTCATATAAATGGAATCATGTAGTATTTGTCCTTCTGTATCTGGCTTATTTGACATCAATTTAACAATCATAGCGATGGTGATAATAATCATAATGATTAAGATTTATTGGTCACTTATTATATTCTAGGCACTGTTCTAAGCAATTTACATATATATTATTTTATTTATTCATCACAGTAACCCCAACAGGAAGGCATTATTTTTATTTCCAGTTTTACAGATGAGTAAACTGAAGCACATAAGTAATTTATTCGTTATAGACTATGTACAAAAAATAATAATAGGCACTGAAGGTACAAAGATGAGTAAGACATGGTCTCTGCCCATAAGGAGTTTACTGTTTAGTAGAAAAGCACAAATTAAAAAAAAATGATTATCAAATGTGATCTACTCTAAACAAGAATTGCATAAAAATGACAGTGAGGACTCTAGAGGACTGAGCTGCCTGGCTGGGATTTGAGGAAGCGTTCACAAAGTGGTGATAGGAGATCTGGCTCTTAAAGGATGGGTAGAAATTTTCTGCATAAACAAGGCAGGTAAAAAAATTGTATAAATCAAGGAGCAGGCACAAAGGAGGTCTGAAATAGGACATTGTGTTTAGGAATGACCAGTAATATCTAATAAATTTGCATCTTTCTCCATGTATCTTAGCTTCATACTATGTGGTCACAAGGATCATATTCACAAAATTCTCCAATGCCAAGCAATTTACTAAACACAAACTGATTCTAGCCTGCCTTGCACTCTTAGTGCTTATGTGATATAGAAAAATGCAGATCAAAACTAAAATAAGATATCATCTCACCCCAGTTAAATGGCTTATATCCAAAAGGCAGGCAACAATAAATGCTGACAATGATGTGGAGAAAAAGTAAACCCTCATAAACTGTTGGGTAGGAATGTATATTAATATGACTACTAAGGAGAACTGTTTAGAGGTTCTTCAAAAAACTAGAAATTGAGCCACCATTTGATCCAGCAATCCGACCACTGGATATGTATGCCAAAGAAAGGAAATAAGTATATCAAAAAGATATCTGCAGTCCTCTATTTGTTGCAGTACTGTTTACAATAGCTAAGATTTTGAAGCAACCTGAGTGTCCATCAACAGATGAATGGATAAAGAAAACGTGGTAAATATACAAAATGGAGTACTTTTTAGCCATAATAAAGAATAAGATCTAGTCATTTGCTACAACATGGATGGAACTGGAGATCATTATGTTAAGTGAAACAAGCCTCTCTCAGAGAAGCAAACATTGCATGTTCTCACTTATTTGTGGGATCTAAAAATAAAATCAATGTAACTCATGGACATAGAGATTAGTAGGATGGTTACCAGAGGCTGGGAAGGGTAGTGGGGTTTGGGAGGGAGGTAGGGATGGTCAATGGGAAAAAAATAGAAAGAATGAATATGGCCTACTATTTGATAGCAAAATAGGGTGAACATAGTCAACAATAACTTAATTATATATTTTTAAATAACTTAAAGAATGAAACTGGATTTTTTATAACTCAAAAGATAAATGCTTGGGGGGATGGATACTTCATTCTCCATGATATGCATATTTCACAATGCATGCCTGTATCAAAACATCTCACATACCACAAAAGAGTGTACACTTTTACTATGTAATCACAAAAATTTAAAAAGAAAAAATTTAAAAAAAGAAAAGTGAGATGATCTATGAACTGAGAAAATTCAATAGAAGCAGAAATGCAGGGGCAGAAATGACTAGGAGAAACATAGGAAATAAGAGAGTACCTGGAAATATGGAGGGAAATAATATTTTCTCCATTATATGAAAACATGGGTCAATGCTATTCAAATTCAGTATAACTGTTGACCATGGCTGTCGCAATTGTACATAAGAAAACTTATGCTTAGAGAGTTTAACCATTGTGCCCAATTTACACAAGGAATGAGTGCTGGTACTCATACTTAAACCTAGGTCTGTTGATTATATTCCATTCTTTTTGAGTGGTATCAGAATCTTCCACATAATAGGGTAATTAGATATATATCCTTAAAAGCCTTATTGGTCCTTGTTAATTTTCTAGTTTCTTCATTGAATATTTGATGAAGAATGCCAAAATATCTTGCAAAAAAATTGAGAGAACAAGTCTTGTGGTAGATTAAATTGAAATAACTTGAAAACAAAAGTAATTTTAAAAAGTATTACAAGGCAATGGCTCACAGTGTAATCCTGGCAATTTGGGAGGTGAAGGGCACATTGGCTCACAGCTGTAGTCCCAGCAATTTGGGAGGCCAAGGCACTTGAGCTTAGGAGTTTGAGATAAGCCTGGGTAACACAGTGAGACTTCATCTCTACAAAATTTAGCCAGTCATGGTGGCAAGTGCCTGTGGTTTCAGCTACTCAGTAGGCTTGTGTGGGAGTATTGCTTGAACCTAAGATATTTAGGCTGAAGTGAGCTGTGTTCATGTCACTGAACTCCAGTCTGGGTGAGAGAGTGAGACCTTGTCTCAAAAAAAAAGTGTTGGAGCACAGAAAATAATACCCCAAAGTATATTGCTTTGGCATGCTGAAAATTTTGAACTAAAAAATATATAAGACCTTAGAAGCTGCCTCAAAACCAAGAACTTTTAAATTTTGTCTCATTTTGTCCTTTCCATATTTACAGAGAGACTCTCTCTGGAATTTTCTTATCTGACTTAAAGAAATATCTTTCTAAAATGAATGCAACTGTCATAAAACATCTGAATCAGGCAGTTCTCATGCTGCTAATAAAGACATACCTGAGACTGGGTAATTTACAAAGAAAAGAGTGTAATTGACTTACAGTTCCACATGGCTTGTGAGGCCTCATAATCATGGTGGAAGGCAAAGGAGAAGCAAAGTGTCATCTTATATGGTGGCAAGCAAGAGAGTTTGTGCAGCAGAATTCCCATTTATAAAACTATCAGTTCTCATAAAACTTATTCACTATCATGAGAATAATATGGGGAAAACACACCCCACCATGATCCAATTATCTCCAGCTGGCCCCTTCCTTGACACATGGGTATTATTATAATTCAAGGTAAGATTTGTGTGGGGACACAGCCAAACTCTATCATTCTGCTTGTGGCCCCTCCCAGATCTCGTGTCCTCACATTTCAAAACCAATCATGCCTTCCCAACAGTCCCCCAAAGTCTTAACTCATTTAACCATTAACACCAAAGTTCACAGTCCAAAGTCTCATCAGAGACAAGGGAAGTCCCTTCTGCCTATGAGCCTGTAAAATCAAAAACAAGTTAGTTACTTCCTAGATACAATGGGGGTACATGCATTGAGTAAATACACTTGTTCCAAATGGGAGAAATTGGCCAAAATGAAAGGGCTACAGGCCTCATGCAAGTCCGAAATCCAAGAGGGTGGTCAAGTATTAAAGCTCTGAAATAATCTCTTTTGACTCCATGTCTCACATCCAGGTCATGCTGATGCAAAAGGTGGGCTCCCACAGTCTTGTGCAGCTCTGACCCTGTGGCTTTTTGGGTACAGCACCCCTCCTGGCTACTTTCATGGGCTGGCATTAAGTGTCTGTGGCTTTTCCAGGTGGATGGTGCAAGCTGTTAGTGGACTCTGTGTGGGGACTCCCACCCCACATTTTTTTCTGCACTGCCCTAGGAGAGATTCCCCATGAAGCCTCCACCCCTGCAGCAAACTTCTGCCTGGACATCCAGGCATTTTCATACATCCTCTGAAATCTAGGTGGAGGTTTCTGAACCTCAATTATTTACTTCTGTGCACTCACAGGCTCAACATGACATGGAAGCTGCCAAGGCTTGGGGTTTGCACCCTCTAAAGCTATGGCTGGAGCTGTACCTTGGCCCCTTTTAGTCAAGGCAGGAGCACCTGGGATGCATGGCACCAAGTCCCAGGTGGGCCCTGAACCTGGCCCAGGAAACCGTTGTTTCCTCCTAGGCCTCTGGGCCTGTGATGGGAGGGGATGCTGCAAAGGTCTCTGACATGCCCTGGCGACATTTTCCCCATTATCTTGGTGATTAGCATTTGGCTCCTTGTAACTTATGCAAATTTCGGCAGCTGGCTTTAATTTCTCCCCAGAAAATGGGTTTTCCCTTTCTATCGAATTGTCAGGCTGCATTAAAAAAAAAAAAAAAAAACTTTTATGCTCTACTTCCTCTTTAGTGCTTTGCTGCTTAGAAATTTCCGCTACCAAATACCCTAAATTATCTCTCCCAAGTTCAAAGTTCCACAAATCACTAGGGCTGGGGCAAAATGTCGTCTGTCTCTTTGCTCAAACATAGCAAGAGTAACCTTTATTCCAGTTCCCAACAAGTTCCTCATCTTCATCTGAGGCCACCTCAACCTGAACTTTATTGTCTATACCACTATCAGCATTTTGGTCAAAGCCATTCAAGAAGTCTCTAGAAAGTGTCAAACTTTCCCACATCTCTCTGTCTTCTGAGCACTCTAAGTCTCTCAGAAGTTCCAAACTTTCCTACATTTTTTATCTTTTTCTGAGCCCTCCAAACTGTTCCAAACTCTGCCTGTTACCCAGTTTCAAAGTATCTTCCACATTTTCGGGTCTCTTTACAGCACCACCCTACTCTACTGTTACCAATTTACTGTATTAGTCTGTTATCATGCTGCTAATAAAGACATACTTGAGTCTGGGTAATTTATAAAGCAAAAAATTTTAATTGGTTCACAGTTCCACATGGCTGAAGAGGCTTCACAGTCATGGTGGAAGGTGAAGGAGGAGCAATGTCACATCTTACATGGTGGCAGGCAAGAGAATTTGTGCAGGGGAACTCCCACTCATAAAACCATCAGTTCTCATGAGACTTATTCACTACCACAAGAAAAGTATGGGAAAAACTGTCTTCATGATTCAATTATCTCCACCAAGCCCCACCCTTGACACATGGGGATTATTACAATTCAAAGTGATATTTGGGTGGGGACACAGCCAAACCATATCAATGTCCTCCCTGGGAAACTCATCAAATAACCAGGAAAAATTAACCACTAGAAAAGAGGAGAGATTAAAAGTCACCACTATGCTCAGATAAAGTTTTCTTCTGTTTTTCTGAGGGCAGCTCCAAGAGGACAGCTCCTGGAAAACTTTATGTACAGAATAAGAAAACGTTTTTTCACAATGCAGTTATTCCCCTCACCTTCTCATAATTTGCCAGCCTTTTTCAGTTTTCTGAAAGAAAGATTTAGCATCTGTCTGCAGGTTCTATTCATTTTTACTAAAAATTATTTACTACCATTCTAAAATTGCCTACATCATCCCACTTCCCTTTTCCCTATGAGGAAGGTAATTAAACCTCAACCATCTGGCTCTTCTTTGAGTCTTGTAGTATATACGGTTCCCATGTTTATGCACATTAATAAATTTGTATTCCTTTTCTCTTATTAATCTGCCAATTCTCAGTTTATTTCAGAGAAACCTGCAGAAAGCAGAGGTGAAGCTTTCCCTCTGCTGCTACAAAAGCTGTAAATGAAGACCATGAAAAAAATTAAGTGTTTCTTTCCTCCACTCCTTAAAAGCTATACACACAGGCCATGAAAAAAAAATCAAGTTGTTGGATGGTTGATTTTTAGTTTGTGTGTGTGCGTGTGTGTGTCTGTGTCTGTGTGTGTTATTAATAACTTAGCTAGGCTATAGTATTCAGTTATTGAATCAAACAAAAATCTAGGGGTTTCTATGAAGGTATTTTGTAGATGTAGTTAACATCTACAATCTGTTCACTTTAAGAAAAGAAGGTACCTTTAATAATGTGGGTGGTTTTATCCACTCAGTTGAAAGGCCTTAAAAGCAAAACCAAAGATTTCCCAGAGAAGAAGAGATTTTGCCTCAAGTCTACATCATAAAGTCCTACCTGAGTTTTTTGTCTATTGTCCTATCCTATAAATTTCAGACTTGCCAGCTTCCAAAATCATGTTAGTGAATTCTTTAAAATTATTCTTTCTCTCTTCATGTATATCATAGAAATAATATATAATAAATATATTGTGTATCAGTATATTAATATATATCTGAGTATATTATATTTTAATATTATATTGATATTAATATAGTATATCAATTTGATATCAATAAGATATGGACAGTGTATATATTGTAAAATGTAATATATGTATATGTGATATATGTATATGTAATGTAAATATAATATGTGTGTGTGTGTGTGTGTGTGCACACACACATAATTTATTCTTTTCCTCTGAAGAAATATGACTGATACAGCTTTTGGTACCAAGAATGGTTCTAGGGGAAAAACATTTTCTAAAAAGTAAGTTTTGTGAAATGGTTATGTGGTTATGGAATTGGTTCTCTAGTATGATTTGATTTAAAAACATTAATGACTGTATTTCTATTAGGAAAGAGAGTGCTGATAGTCCATGATACGTTGTGGTAATATAGATATTCAAAATATCACCAGTTTGATATTGACTCCTAGTCAGATTATTACAAAAAGCAAGTTTCTGAAAGAATGTTTAGTTGATATCTTAGAACATTTTGTCAAACTAATGAATGTAATGAGTGGCTGGTTGCTCCTAGTTATCCTGGAGAATGTGAGAAAAGAAAATGAATAAGCTCAAGAATTAGAATTCCCAGCTCAAGCTCTACAAAAATGAGCTGCAAGTTTCTATGTCTGTCCTGAAAAAGAAACCCTTACCTCTAGTAGCCTTACAGCTGAGACTGCTAAAGGCCAAACCCAGTCTCATCCTGTGCGTGGTAATTACAATAAAAATTTAATTCTCACTTCAAAGGGTGCTGGCCATTAAACTGAGGGCATAGATTGGGAAGGAATGGGATGCTATCCACTAGAATGAAGGCATATGAGTAGAAGCATTTGGGAATATTGAACTCCTGAATTTTGCTGAGTTTTCTTTTCCAGTAGAATCATACTTTTCACCATGTTTGAGAAAGTTAATCCTGCTTTTCCTGAAGACACTCTAATGATCTCCCACGAGGCATTTGCTTGAAAGATATTGCTAATTCTTCTCAGGACCTATATACAATATATATCTTTACTTCTAGACCTATAATTAAGCTGAATTCCCAGCATAAACCAAAGGATGAGGTATAAAGTGTGACACATGAAGACGTGTGCTGCACTCCAAAAGAACTGCATAATTTTTAAAATTTATATAGCTGTTAATATGGATAATATGTGTGAGAGTGAATATTAAGCATGTGGAATAAAGGTAGAAGAAACTTAAAGTAGGATGCGGCTAAAATTATTGAAGGGAGCTCTCTAAGAAGAGATTCTGTATTTAATAATAATGTTGAGAAGGTAGAAAGAGTTCTAACAAACAGTTTGTTTGCTTGGTTTGCTGAAACATGAAACAAAAGGCTACCTACAGGAATAGAAGTTGAAGTACCAGAACAGTCTTGCTATATTGCTAATGAAGGTAACCAAAGGCTTAGGGAGATTAAAATGTTGGAATGGATACAGAAAATATATACAGAAATAGTGATTGCTACCACATCCCCATGCAATTTCTTTTTTTGACTTGTGCAGAAAACATAGATTTCAGAGAATGGCAGTGAATTATTATAAACTTAACCAGGTGGTGAATCCTATTGTACCTGCTGTCCCAGATGTAGTTTCATTGCTTTAATAAAGTAACACATGCCATGGTATCTGGTATGCAGCTATTGATCTGGTATGATAATTAATTTTACATATCAACTTTACTGTACCACGGGGTGCCCAGATTAAACATTATTTCTGAGTGTGTCTATGAGTGCGTTTCTAGATGGGACTAGAATTTGAACTGGTGAAATCAATAAAGTAGATTGTTTTCCCCAGTGTGCATGGGCATTATCCAATATGCTGAGGACCTGAATAAAACAAATAGGGAGAAAAAGGGTAAATTTGTCCCTTTCACTTGATGCTTGCCTGTTTGAGCTGGGACATTGATTTTATAATTTTGAACTAGACTTTATACAGGAACACCTCCCCACACACCCCAGTTCTCAGGCTGCCAAACTTGAATAAAAATTACACTATAGTGACTTTCTTGAGTCTCCTGTTTGCAGATGTTAAATTCTAGAACTTTTCAGCCTTCATAATCATGTGAGCCAATTCCTCTCTTATATATATCCTATTAGTTCTGAAGAACTCTGATTAATACAGATTTTGGTGTGGAGAATGGCTCTAGAGAAACAGAATTTTAAGAATAAGGGCTTTGGATTTGTTTTGTGTTTATGGAATTGGGTCTCTAATGTAATTATATTTAAAGATGCTAATAACTCTACTTCCAGGAGTAAAGAGAGAAACAATAGTCCATGGAGTAAATTATTTACTGAGATACACAAAATATCTGTACTGAATACTCAACAATCAGTCACTTTTAAGGAGCCAGAAGCTAGATGACTCTTTATAGAATACCTTCAAACATGTTTTTAAAAAATTAATTAATATAATGATGTTGGCCTGTTACTCCTAATGTTGCTGAACAAAGTAGTTAAAAAAACGAGCTCAGGGATTTAAATTCCCAGCCCAAGTATTACATAAATAATCAAAAAACTTCTGTGTGTGCCTGAAGGAGATTCTTACTACTTACAGCAGCAGAGCTAAAATTGCTGAAAATCAAATGCAGAATCTCATCCTGTGACAATTGATAAAGTAGAAGACAAGTTGAACTCCAAGCCTTATAAAGTGTGTACTGCAAAAGTGAGACCATTGATCAGGAAATAATGGGATATTATAAATTGAAATACTGTAAGTGTGAGAAAACTCTGATGAATATGGGGTCATTGAGCTCCTAAATTCTTATGAGTCTTCTTTGCCACTGGAAGAGGTCGTGCCACCCCTAGTACAAGAAGCCCCTCCTTTGCAAAAGTGGCTCCTCATCCCCAGTGTAAATAGCCTTCCAAACCCTCAGGAACATTGGCATTCACACTCTCAAGGATATCGGCTTTTCTACCCAGAGTGGTATCTGCCTTTCTACTTCTGTCTGATTGAATTAACCTGGGACTCCTTGAGAAACTGTATTGGCCTCTCCTGAGGAAGTTTCCATTTTAGAAAATGCTGATACTTTTCAGGACCAACCTCCACCATCTCTCTTCTTCTAGATCTGTAACTAGACTCAAGTCCCAGCAGGACTTTAAGGGTGAAGTACAAAATGTGATACATGAAGACGTGCCGTATACTACAAAAAAAAAAAAAAAATGCTGATATGGTTTGGCTGTGTCCCCACCCAAATCTCATCTTGAATTCCCAGTTGTTGTGGGAGGGACTGGGTGGGAGGTAACTAAATCATGAGGGCACATCTTTCTTGTGCCGCTTTTATGATAGTGAATAAGTCTCATGAGATCTGATGGTTTTAAAAAAGGGGAGTTTCCCTGCAAAAGCTCTTTCTGCCTGCTGCCATACATGTAAGATGTGACTTGCTCCTCCTTGCCTTCCACCATGATTGTGAGGCCTCTCCAGCCATGTGGAAGTGTAACTCTACTAAACCTCTTTTTTTTTTTAATGGCACAGTCTCATGTATGTCTTTATCAGCAGCATGAAAACAGACTAATACAGTAAATTGGTACCAGTAGAGTGGGGTGTTGCCAAAAGATACCCAAAAATGTGGAAGTGACTTTGGAACTAGGTGACAATCAGAGACTGAAAAAGTTTGGAGGGCTCAGAAGAAGACAGAAAAGTATGAGAAATTTTGGAACTTCCTAGAGGCTTGTTGAATGGCTTTGACAAAAATGCTGATAGTGATATGAACAATAAGGTCCAGGCTGTGGTGGTCTCAGATGGAGATGGAGATCAGGAACTTGTTGGGAACTGGAACAAAAGTGACTCTTGTTTCAGGAACTTGTTGGGAACTGGAACAAAATTGACTCTTGTTATGTTTTAGCAAAGAGACTGGTGACATTTTGCCCCTGCCCCAGTGATTTGTGGAACTTTGAACTTGAGAGAGATGATTTAGGGTATCTGGTGGAAAAAAATTCTAAGCAGCAAAGCATTCAAGAGGTGACTTGGGGTCGCTTCCAAGATGGCCAAATAGGAACAGCTGCGGTTTACAGCTACCAGCAAGATCGATGCAGAAGATGGGTGATTTCTGCATTTCCAACTGAGGTACCTGTTTCATCTCATTGGGACTGGTTGGACAGTGGGTGCAGCCCATGGAGGGTGAGCCAAAGCAGAGAGGGGCATTGCCTCACCCAGGAAGCGCAAGGGGTTGGGAGATTTTCCTTTCTTAGCCAAGGGAAGCCGTGAGTGTCTATACCTGGAGGAATTGTACACTCCAGTCCAAATACTGCACTTTTCCCACGGTCTTCACAACCTGCCGACCAGGAGGTTCCCTCCTGTGCCTGGCTTGGTGGGTCCCACACCCACAGAGCCTTGCTCACTGCTAGTGCAGCAGTCTGAGATCAACCTGGGATGCTGGAGCTTGGCGGAGGGAGGGGTGCCCACCATTGCTGAGGCTTGAGTAGGCAGTTATATGCTCACAGTGTAAACAAAGTGGCAGGGAAGCTTGAACTGGGCAGAGCCCACCACAGCTCAGCAAGGCCTACTGCCTCTCTAGATTCCACTTCTGAGGCCAGGGCATATCTGAACAAAAGGCAGCAGAGAGCTTCTCCAGACTTAAACATCCCAGCCTGACAGCTCTGAAAAGACCAGTGGTTCCCCCAGCACAGTGTTCGAGCTCTGGTAATGGACAGACTGCCTCCTTAAGTGGGTCCCTGACCCACGTGTAGCCTGACTGGGAGACATCTCCCAGTAGGGGTCAACAGACACCTCATACAGGCAGGTACCTGTCTGGGATGAAGCTTCCAGAGGAAGGATCAGGTGGCAATATTTGCTGTTTTGCAGCCTCTGCTGGTGATACCTAGGCAAACAGGGTCTGGAGTGGACCTCCAGCAAACTCCAACAGACTTGAAGCTGAGGGGCCTGTTAGAAGAAAATCTAATAAACAAAAAGGAATAGCATCAATATCAACAAAAAGGACATCCACATCAAAACTGCATCTGTAGATCACCAACATCAAAGACCAAAGGTAGATAAAACCACAAAGATGGGGAGAAACCAGAGCAGAAAGGCTGAAAATTCCAAAAACCAGAACACCTCTTCTCCTCCAAAGGAACACAACTGCTCGCCAGCAAGGGAACAAAACCGGAAGGGGAATGAGTTTGATGAGTTGACAGAAGTAGGCTTCAGAAGGTCAGTAATAACAAACTCCTCCGAGCTAAAAGAGCATGTTCTAACCCATTGCAAGGAAGCTAAAAACCTTGAGAAAAGGTTAGACTAATGGCTAACTAGAATAACCAGTGTAGAGAAGAGCTTAAATGACCAGATGGACCTGAAAACCACAGTATGAGAACTTCATGAAGCATACACAAGCTTCAATAGCTGATTTGATCAAGCAGACGAAAGGATATCAGTGATAGAAGATCAAATGAATGAAATAAAGAGAGAAGACAAGATTGGAGAAAAGAGTGAAAAGAAATGAACAAAGCCTCCAAGAAATATGGGACTATGTGAAAAGACTAAATCTACATTTGACTGGTGTACCTGAAAGTGACGGGGAGAATAGGCCCAAGTTGGAAAACACTCTGTAGGATATTATCCAGGAGAACTAATCTAACTTAGAAAGGCAGGTCAACATTAAAATTCAGGAAATACAGAGAACACCACAAAATTACTCCTCGAGAAGAGCAACCCCAAGACACATAATTGTCAGATTCACCAAGTTTGGAATGAAGGAAAAAATGTTAAGGGCAGCCAGAAAGAAAGGTCAGGTTACCCACAAATGGAAGCCCATCAGACTAACAGCAGATCTCTCTGCAGAAACCCTACAAGCCAGAAGAGAGTGGGGACCAATATTCAACATTTTCAAAGAAAAGAATTTTCAACCCAGAATTTCATATCTAGCTAAACTAAGCTTCATAAGTGAAGGAGAAATAAAATCCTTTACAGACAAGCAAATGCTGGGAGATTTTGTCACCACCAGGCCTGCCTTGAAAGAACTCCTGAAGGAAGCACTAAACATGGAAAGGAATAGCTGGTACCAGCCACTGCAAAAAACATGCCAAATTTGGAAATTTGACCATTGACGCTATGAAGAAACTGCATCAACTAACGGGCAAAATAACCAGCTAGCATCATAATGACAGGATCAAATTCACGCATAACAATACTAACCTTAAATGTAAATGGGCTAAATGTCCCAATTAGAAGACATAGATTGGCAAATTGCATAAAGAGTCAAGACCCATCACTGTGCTATATTCAACACAGTGTATTCAACACTTTGAACGGGAGACCCATCTCCCGTTCAAAGACACACATAGGCTCAAAATAAAGGGATGGAGGAAGGTCTACCAAGCAAGTGGAAAGCAAAAAAAAAAAAAAAAAAAAAGCAGGGGTTGCAGTCCTAGTCTTGGATAAAAGAGGTTTTAAACCAACAAAGATCAAAAGAGACAAAGAAGGCCATTACATAATGGTAAAGGGATCAATTCAACAAGAAGAGCTAACTATCCTAAATATACATTCACCCAATACAGGAGAACCCAGATTCATAAAGCAAATCCTTTGAGACCTACAAAGAGACTTAGACTCCCACATAATGATGATGGGAGAATTTAATGTCCCACTGTCAATATTAGACTGACCAATGAGACAGAAAATTAACAAGGATATCCAGGACTTGAACTCAGCTCTGGACCAAGTGGACCTAATAGACATCTACAGAACTCTCCACCCCAAATCAACAGAATACACATTGTTCTCAGCACCACATTGTGCTTATTCTAAAATTAACCACATACTTGTAAGTAAAACATTCTTCAGCAAATGTAGAAGAAGAGAAATCACAACAAACTGCCTCTCAGACAACAGTGCAATCAAATTAGAACTCGGGCTTAAGAAACTCACTCAAAACTGCACAACTACAAGGAAACTGAACAACCTACTCCTGAATGACTACTGGATAAATAACAAAATGAAGGCAGAAATAAACATGTTCTTTGAAACTAATGAGAACAAAGACACAATGTACCAGAATCTCTGGGACACATTTAAAGCAGTGTGTAGAGGGAAATTTATAGCACTAAAGGCCTACAAGAGAAAGCAGGAAAGATCTAAAATCAACACCCTAACATCAACATTAAAAGAACTAGAGAAGCCAGAGCAAACAAATTCAAAAGCTACCAGAAGACAAGAAGTAACTAAGATCAGAGCAGAACTGACGGAGATAGAGACACAAAAAACCCTTGAAAAAATCAATGAATGCAGGAGCTGGTTTTTTGAAAAGATCAAGAAAATAGATAGACCACTAGCAAGACTAACAAAGAAGAGAGAGAAGAATCAAATAGACACAATAAAAAATGATAAAGGGATAGCACCACTGATCCCACAGAAATACAATCTACCATCAGAGAATACTATGAACCCCTCTATGCAAATAAACTAGAAAATCTAGAAGAAATGGATAAATTCCTGGACATATACACCCTTCCAAGACTAAACCAGGAATAAGTTTAATCTCTGAATAGATCAATAACAGGTTCTGAAATTGAGGCAATAAAATATCCTACCAACCAAAAAACGTCCAGAACCAGATGGTTTCACAGCTGAATTCTACTGGAGGTACAAAGAGTAGCTGGTTACATGCCTTCTGAAACTATTCCAGTCAATAGAAAAAGAGGGAATCCTCCCTGACTCATTTTATGAAGCCAGCATCATCCTGATACCAAAGCTTGGTGGAGACACAACAAAAAAAAACATAATTTTAGGTCAATACCCCTGAGGAACATCAATGTGAAAATCCTCAGTAAAATACTGGCAAACCTAATCCAGCAGCACATCAAAAAGCTTAACCACCACGATCAAGTCACCTTCATCCCTGGGATGCAAGGCTGGTTCAACATACCCAAATCAATAAATGTAATCCATCACATAAACCAAACCAACGTCAAAAACCATATGATTATCTCAATAGATGCAGAAAAGGCCTTCAACAAAATTCAACAGACTTTCATGCTAAAATCTCTCAATATACTAGGTATTGATGGAACGTATCTCAAAATAATAAGAGCTATTTATGACAAACCCACAGCCAATGTCATACTGAATGGCAGAAACTGGAGCATTCCTTTTGAAAACTGGCGCAAGACAAGGATGCCCTCTCTCACCACTCCTATTCAACATAGTGTTGGAAGTTCTGGCCAGGGAAATCAGGCAGGAGGAAGAAATAAAGGGTATTCAATAGGAAAAGAGGAAGTCAAACCGTCTCTGTTTGCAGATGACATGATTGTACATTTAGAAATCTCTATCGTCTCAGCCCAAAATCTTAAGCTGACAAGCAACTTTAGCAAAGTCTCAGGATATAAAATCAATGTGCAAAAATCACAAGCATTCCTATACACCAAAAACAGACAGAGAGCCAAATCATGAGTGAACTCCCATTCACAATTACTACAAAGAGAATAAAATACTTAGGAATTCAACTTATAAGGGAAGTGAAGGACCTCTTCAAGGAGAACTACAAACCACTGCTCAATGAAATAAAAGAGGACACAAACAAGTGGAAGAACATTCCATGCTCATGGATAGGAAGAATCCATATAGTGAAAATGCCCATGCTGAACAACATAATTTACAGATTCAGTGCTATCCTCATCAAGCTACCACTGGCTTTCTTCACTGAATTGGAAAAAAACTACTTTAAAGTTCAAATGGAACCAAAAAGGAGTCCACATAGCCAAGACACTCCTAAGCAAAAAGAACAAAGCTGGTGGCATCATGCTACCTGACTTCAAACTATATTACAAGGCTACAGTAACCAAAAGCATGGTACTGGTACCAAAACAGATATATAGACCAATGAAACAGAACAGAGCCCTCAGAAATAACACCATACATCTACAGCCATCTGATCTTTACAAACCTGACAAAAACAAGCAATGGGGAATAGATTCCCTATTTAATTAATGGTGCTGAGAAAACTGGCTAGCCATATGTAGAAAGCTGAAACGGGATCCGTTCCTTACAACTTATACAAAAATTAACTCAAGATGGATTAAAGACTTAAATGTAAGACCTAAAACCATAAAAGCCCTGGAAGAAAACTTAGGCAATACCATCCAGAACATAGGCATGGGCAAAGACTTCATAATTAAAACACCAAAAACAATGGCAACAAATCCAAAATTGACAAATGGGATCTAATTAAACTAAAGAGCTTCTGCATAGCAAAATATCATCAAATATCATCAGAGTGAACAAGCAACATACAGAATGGGAGAAAATTTACCCATCTGACAAAGTGCTAATAACCAGAATCTAGAAAGAACTTAAGGAAATTTACAAGAAAAAAACAACCCCATTAAAAAGTGGGTGAAGGATATGAACAGACACTTCTCAACAGAAGACATTTATGTAGCCAACAGACACATGAAAAAATGCTCATCATCACTGGTCATCAGAGAAATGCAAATCAAAACCACAATGAGATACCATATCATGCCGGTTAGAATGGAGATAATTAAAAAGTCAGGAAACAACAGATGCTGGAGAGGATGTGGAGAAATAAGAACACTTTTACACTGCTGGTGGGAGTGTAAATTAGTTCAACCATTGTGCAAGACAGTGTGTCAATTCCTCAGGTATCTAGAACTAGAAATACCATTTGACCCAACGATCCCATTACTGGGTATATACCCAAAGGATTATACACCATGCTACTATAAAGACACACACGTGTATGTTTATTGCAGCACTATTCACAATAGCAAAGACTTGGAACCAACCCAAATGTCCAACAATGATAGACTGGATTAAGAAAATGTGGCACATATATACCATTGAATACTATGCAGCCATAAAAAAGGATGAGTTCATGTCCTTTATAGGGACATGGATGAAACTGGAAACCATCATTCTCAGCAAAATATCACAAAGACAGAAAACCAAACACTGCATGTTCTCACTCATAAGTGGGAGTTGAACAATGAGAACACATGGACACAGGAAGGGGAACATCACACAGTGGGGCCTGTTTGGGGGTGTTGGGCTGAGCGGGGGATAGTGTTAGGAGAAATACCTGATGTAAATGATGCATTGATGGGTGCAGCAAACCACCATGGCACATGTATACCTATGTAACAAAACTGCACATTGTGCACTTGTACCCTAGAACTTTAAATATAATAATAAAAATTAAAAAAATAAAAAAAGAAGTTAAAAAAAAAGAGGTGACTTGAGTGCTGTTTAAAGCATTCAGTTTTAACAGGGAAACAGAGCATAAAAGATTGGAAAATTTGTAGCCTGAAAATGTGATAGAAAAGAAAATCCCATTTTCTCAAGAGAAACTCAAGACAGCTGCAGAAATTTGCATAAGTAATGAGGAGCTGAATATTAGTCACGAAGACAATGGGGAAAATGTCTCCAGGGCATGTCAGAGACCTTTGTGGCAGACCCTCACATCACAGGCTTGGAGGGCTAGGAGGAAATGATGGTTTTGTGAGTGAGGCCCATGACCTCCCTGCTCTGTGCAGCCTAGGGAGTTGGTACCCTGTGTTCCAGCCACTCCAGCCATGGCTAAAAGAGGCCAAGGTACATCTCAGGCTGTTGCTTCAGAGGGTGAAGCCACATGCTTTGGCAGGTTCCATGTGGTGTTGAGCCCATGGGTTCACAGAAGTAAAGAATTGAGGTTTGGGAACCTCCACTTAGATTTCATAGGATGTATGGAAATGGCTGAATGCCCAGGCAGGAATCTGCTGCAGGGGCAGGGCCCTCATGAAGAACCTCTGCTAGGGCAGTGCAGAAGGGAAATGTAGAGCTGAAGACCCCAAACAGAGTCTCTACTGGGGTACTGCCTAGTGGAGCTGTGAAAAGAGGGCCACTGTCCTCCAGACCCCAGAATGCTAGATCCACTGACAGCTTGCACAGTGTGAAAAAGCCACAGATACTCAACAGCAGCCTGTGAAAGCAGCCAGGAAGGAAGTTGTATCCTGCAAAGCCACAGAGGTAGAGATGCCCAAGACCATGGTAATCCACCTCTTGCATCAGTGTGATCTAGATGTGAGACAGGAAGTCAAAGGAGATCATTTTGGAGCTTTAAGATTTGACTGCCTTGCTGGATTTTAGACCTGATTGGGGCGTGTAACTCCTTTGCTTTGGCCAATTTCTCCCATTTGGAATGGCTGTATTTACCTAATTCCTGTACCCTCATTGTATCTAGGAAGTAACCAACTTGCTTTTGATTTTACAGGCTCACAGGTAGAAGGGACTTGCCTTGTTTTGAATGAGAGTTTGAATTGTAGAGTTTTGAGTTAATGCTGAACTGAGTTAAGATTCTGGGGGACTGTTGGGAAGGCATGATGGTTTTAAAATGTGAGGATGTGAGATTTGGGAGGGGACAGGGGTGGAATGATATGGTTGGGCTGTGTCCCGACCCAAATCTCTTTTTGAATTCCCATGTATTGTGGGAGGGACCCAGTGGGAAGTATTTGAATCATGGGGGCAGTTCTTTCCTGTGCTGTTCTCATGATAGTGAATAAGTCTCACAAGATCTGATGATTTTATAAAAGGGGAGACTCCCTACACAAGCTCTTTGTGTCTGCCACCATTCATGTAACACGTGTCTTGCTCCTCCTTGCCTTTCACCATGATTGTGAGGCCCCCCCAACCATGTAGAACTATAAGTCATAATTTTCTTTTGTAAATTGCCCAGTCTCGGGTATGTCTTTGTCAGCAGCATGAAAACAAACTAGTACAATTGCCCACAGCTTTCCTTGGTTTAATACAAAAGAAGAAATCCAAAGACCTAGGGAGATTGGAGTGTTAGTGTGAATTTGTCTTTAGACTTACTCTCACACATTGGGAAGGTTCAGAAGACATGTCTTTTACAAGTACTGTGGGAAATAAATTTGTGAGGGGAGCCTCAGCATCCTAAAGAGTTCTGTGAACAGCTCTGTGATTGTCCTTTGTAGTCCATACTTTCCAATGGGAACTGCAGCCACTAAATTGGGAAACCTAAATTCGATGAGATTAATTAGATCCTGGAATGGCAGTGACCAAGTGGTGGCACTCAACCACCAAAGACAAGGTGGACTTGGTTACAGCCATGGACAGCAGAGTCAAAATAGTAATTAGAATAGTCTGACTTACATAGGCCTATAGCATTAGCTAGTTGATTATGATAGTCTTAGAAGTGAAATAAATTGAAACCCTACTAAATTGTTACTTCATCTGTATAAGCAGAAAAGTTCTAGGTCAAATTAACAAAATTCTAACTTAAACAATAAAAATAGCGAGTTGCAACACCTGAATCAATTCCTAGACTTGAACCAGTTTATAGGCTTAGTATCCCTCGATTAAAGAGAGGCCAGATCTCTTAAAGGAAGAACTCTGGTACACTACCAAAAACATACAGCATTGAGTTTTTTCCCCAGCCTTCCCCAAATGGATCTATGGCATTTTACTAGGGTAAATGTGCTTTGGCAAAAAGGAGGTAATGAAAACTTCAAGAGTTACTGGAAACTGTCTCTGAACTGACACTAACTCCAAGATACACCAAATGTCACTGTAGCCCAGCAGTCAGAGTCAGGGCTTATTGCGGTAAGATGATCAATGTTTTAGCACAGGTTTATCTCACAGTGGGCCTAGTGGTTCCCCAAACCCATCCTGTGGTTATTTCCTCAGCTGCAGAATTCATAATTGGAACATATACACTTAGCAGCTGAAATAATTCCCATACTGGTTCCCTGACCTGTAGCATCAAGGCCATTATGGTAGGAAAGGCCAAGTGGAAGCCACTAAAACTACCTCTACCTAAGAAAGTAGTAATTCAAAAGCAATACCACATCATTGGGTAGATTGCAGAGACTAGTGCCATCATCAAGTGTTTTAAAGATGCAGTTGGCAATCACCGTCTCATCCCCATTCAACTCTCCTATTTGGCCTGTGCAGAAGAAAAATGAATCTTGAAGAAAAACAGTGAATTATAAATTTATTCAACTGTTGACTCTAATTATAGCTGCTCTATCACATGTGGTTTCCCTGCTTGAGCAAATTTAAAAATTCCCTGGTACCCAGTATAAAGCTATTGATCTAGCAAGTGCTTTTTCTCAATCCCTGTCCATAAGGCCAATCAGAAATAGTTTGCTTTAGCTGGAAAGGCCAATAAAGCACATTCACTGTCATATCTCAAGGGTATAACAACTCTTCAGTTCTACGTCATAATTTAGTTCACAGGGATATTGATCTCCTTTCCCATCCACAACATATCACACTCTTTTATTGCATTGATTACATTATGCTGATTGAATCTAGTGAACAAGAAGTAGCAACTATTCTAGACTTATTGGTAAGTATGTCAGTGGGTGATATGAATACAGTGAAAGTTCAGGGGCCTTCCAAATCACTGAAAGTTCTAGGACTCCAGTGGTTTGAGATATATCAAAATATCTCCTCTAAGGTGAAGGGTAAGTTGTTACATCCAGCTCCTTGGTATGGTCTGAATGTTTGCACCCCCACCACTAAATTTATATGTTGAAATCTAATCCCTTATGTAATGGTATTTGTTTTCTCTGTTTTTTTTTTTTTTTTTTTTTTTTTGCAGTGACAGATAAAATCATATGTATTTACCATGTACAACATAATGTTTTGGAGTGTATATACATGTGGAATAACTAAATATAGCTAATAGCTAATTAACATATTCTTACTTCAAATAGTTCTTATTTTTGTGGTGAGAACACTTTACCATGTACAACATAATATTTTGAAGTATATACTTACCATGTACAATATAATGTTTTGAAGTATATATACATTGCCAAATGACTTAATCTAGCTATTTAACATATTCTTACCTCACATAGTTTTCATTGTTGTGGTGAGAACACTTTACATCTTCTCTGTTTGCATTGCTCAGGAATAAAAGATATTAACTGTAGTCACTAAGTTTTACAGTAGGTTTCTTGAACTTATTCCTCTTATCTAACTAAAATTGTGTGTCCTTTGACCATCACTCCCCACCACCACTCCACTCCCTTGTAACTACAATTCTACTTTCTATCTTTATCAGATCAACTTTTTTTAGATTCCACATATGAGTGAAATTATTCAGTATGTGTCTTTCTGTACCTTATGTCACTTAACATAATGTCCTCCAGATCACCCATGTTGTCACAAATGACAAGGTTGCCTTTTTCACAGCTGAATACTACTTCATTCTGTATAAATACTTTTTCATTGTGTGTCAAAATTCCATTTTCTTTACTCATTCATCTATTGATGACCCTAAAATTCATGACCCTAATTCATGACCCTAATAGATGACCCTACTATTTATCATTCATCTTTCGATGGACCCTGATATAGTGGTACAACCTTCCTGTAACCGAAAAAGGGGCACAATGCCTAGTGAACCTCTTTGACTTTTGGAGACAAGACATTTACTGTTTGTGTATATTACTCAAGCCCATTTACTGAGTTACCCACGAAACTACTAGTTTTGTGTGGGACCCAGAACAAGAGAAGGCTCTGCTGTTGTGCAAGCTGATTTGTCACTTGGGTCATATTATCAAGCAGATTTAATGGTGACTGAAGTGTCAGTGGCAGATGGTATGCTGTATGGAGCCTTTGGTAGGCCCATGTAGGTGAATCACAGTGAAAACAACTCTTAGGATTTGGGAGCAAATCCCTGCCAGTTTCTGCCAGTGGATAACTACTCTCCTTTTAAGAAACAGCTTTTGACTTCTTGCTGGGCCTCACTTAAAGAATGAACACGTAACCACGGTCCACCAAATTACCATCTGCCCTCAGCTGCCAATGATAAACTGGGGATAATCTGACCCACTAAACCATAAATTTCAGTGTGCATATCAACATTTCATCATCAAATGGAATTTATATGTTTGTGGGTGCAAACAGGTAAGTTAGATGAAGTGTCCCAAATGCCCATCGTCCCTACTGCTGCTATACTGTCATCTCTCTTTCAGCCTGAATCTATGGTTTCATGGAGAGCTCCCTAAAATCTGTTGACAGAGGAAGAGAAGACTTGAACCTGGTTTACAGATGGTACTGCACAATATGCAGGAACCACATGAAAGCAGGCAGTTGAAGCACTGCAGCCTCTCTCTGGGACATCTCCTAAGAAAAATGAGGGAGCATCCTCCCATCCTCCAGGTGGGCAGAGCTACTGGTGGTGCATCTGTTTTTTCATATGATTGGAAGGAAAAATGGTCAGATGTGCAAATATACACTGATTGCCGGGCTGTGGCCCATGGTTTGGCTGGATGGCAAAAATTTTAGAAGAAACGATTGAAAAATCGGTGACATATAAATCTGGGCAAAAGATATGTGGATAGATATTTTTTCTCTGAATGGGCAAAAAACATGATAATATTTGTGTTTCATGTGAATGCTTATCAAAAGCTGACCTTAGATGAAAAGGATTTTAATAAGCAAGTGGACAGGATAACCCATTCTGTGGATACCAGTTAATGTCTTTTGTCATCCAACTCTGTCATCACACAATGAGCTCAATGAACAAAGTGGCCATGGTAGCAGGGATGGAAATTATTCATTGGTTCAGCAACATGGACTTTCACTCACCAAGGCTTTTATGGTTACAGCAACTGCTGAGTGCCCAATATGAAATCAGCTAAGACTAATATAGAGTTTCCTTTAGCACACCATTCTACGGAGTGATCAGCAAGTTGATTACACTAGTCAGCTTCCGTTATGGAAGAGACAGCATTTTGTTCTTACTGGAATAGATACTTACTCTAGATATTGATTTGTGTTTTTTCAGGCAATGTTTCTGCAAAAACTGCCATTTGTGTACTTATAAAATGCCTTCTCTACCATTATGGTATTCCACACAACATGGCTTCTGATCAAAGAATTCATAATACAACAAAATAAGTGCAACAATAAGCCCATGCTCATGTAACTCAGTGGTCTAAATTCTATTGGTTCTGTTTGTCCAAAGAACCCTGAGTAATACATCTAGTAAATGATTTTTTCATCACCTGTTAGTAAAGACCACAAGAAGTAGTTTACAATATACCTAAACTATCTGATATGGGCTGGATTGTGTTTTCCCAAAATTTATATGTTGAAGCCCTGATCCCCCAGTACCTCAGAGTGTGACTATATTTGGATATAGGGTTTATGAAAGTAAAATGAGGTCATTGGAGTTGGCTCTAATCCCATCTGACTGGTGTCCTTATGAGAAGAGGAAATTTGGATACAATAATAGACATCAAGAATGCACACACACAGAAATAAAGGCCATGTAAGTACACAGCAAAAATGCAACAATTTGCAAGCCAAGAAGAAAGGCCTTAGAGCAAAGCAAACCCACTGACACCTTGATCCTGGGTATTTAGCATCCAGAACTATGAGAAAGTACATATTTTTTGGTTTAAGCCATCCAGTTTCTGTTGTTTTGTTATGGAAGCCCTATCAAGCTAATATACTGTTCTACCTCAGGGTATATCTACTCTCCAGGTCTATATCATAACTTAGTCCTCAGAGACCTTGATCACATTTCCCTTCCAGAAGACAGTGCTGATCGATTACACTGATAATATTATGCTGATTGGGCCTAGTGAACAAGAAGGATCAACTCTTTCAGATTTATTGATAAGCATTTACAAGTCAGAGGGTGAGAAATAAATCCAACAAAAAATTCATGTGCTTTCCAGCTCAGTGAAAAGCACAGTTTAAGATACTTCTACAGTTTCAGATACTTTGTTGTATCTGGCCCATTCTAAACCAAAAAGAGGCACAATGTCTAGTGGACCGGTTTGAATTTTGGAGATAATATATTCACTATTTGGGTGTGTTACTCCAGTTCATTTACCATGTGACCCCAAAAAGCCTGATTGTTTTGGGTGGGCCCCAAAACAAGAGAAGGCTCTGCAGCAGGTCCAGACTGCTGTGCAAACTGCTCTACCACTTGGGCCATGTGACCCAGCAGATCCAATTGTTCTTGAAGTTTCAGTGGCAGATAGAGATGCTGTTTGGAATTTTTGGCAGTCATCTATATCTGAATCACAGCATAGACCTCTGTTAAAGCAATACCCCATTCCTCGTGTGAAGTCTTGCCATCCTTTGTAGATAACTACTCTACTTTTGAGAAGAAGCTTTTGGCTTATTACTGGGGCCTTAGTAGAGAGTAAATGCTTAACCACAGGTCAACAAATTACCATGCAATTTTAGCTGCTTACCAAGAACTGGATATGGTTTAATGCATCAAGCCATAAATGTGGGCATGCACATCAATATGTCCTTATCCAATAGAGGACGTATATACCAATTCAGGCTCAACTATACTCTAAATGAATAAGTAAGTTACATGAAGAAGTTATTCAAACACCTATGGTTTCCCTTCCTGCTACATTATCTTCCCTCTCCCAGCTCATCCTTACGGCTTCATGGAGAGTTCCTTATGATCAGTTGACTGAGGAAATGAAAATGCAGGGCCATTTTACCAATGTTTTAAGGAGATACATATGGAGGCCAAGTTGACATAGGATACTCTGTGGTGCTTAATTTTATGTGTCAATTTGACTAGGGTACAGTCCTCTGTTATTTAACCAAACACGAATCTAACTGTTGTTCTGAAGGATATTTTGTAGATGTGGTTAGCATGTATGATCAGTTCACTCTGAGTAAAGATTACCCTAAAAAATGTGGGTATGCTTTATCTACTCAGCTGAAAGAGCAAAATTAAATTTCCCTGAGGAGAAATTCTCCTTCAAGTCTGTAGTATCAACTCCTGCCTGAGTTTTTTAATTTTTTAATTTTAATTTAAAAATTTTTTTTTTGAGATAGGGTCTTGTTGTGTCGCTCAAGCTGGGCATGATCGTGGTTTACTGCAGCCTCAACCTCCTGGGCTCAAACAATCCTCTTACCTCTGCTTCCTGAGTATCTGCAACTACCATGTCTGGCTAATTTTTCTTTTACTTTTGCATAGAGAAAGGGTCTCACTATGTTGCCCAAGGTGGTCTCAAACTCCTGGGACTCAAGCTATCTTTCCACCTTGTCCTGTCAAAATTCTGCAATTACAGGTATGACTCACTGTGCCTGGCCTTTCCTGCCTGTTTCTAGTCTGCTGGACTTCCCTATAAATTTTATTCTTGCCAGCCTCCACAGTCATATGATCAAATTCCTTAAAATAATTATCTTTCTCTCTAGATAGATATAGACATAGACATAGATATATGAATAGACATCTTCTGCATTCTGTTCCTCTGGAAAACCCTACGTAATTGATACAGGGGATGATAAACAAATTCCAAAAGCTCTGAATTTGTCTACTGCTAACATGTATGATACTATCTAAGCCTCGGTTTAAATCCAATGTGAGCACAAAGGGCTGAAAAACTGCAAGCAATGTCAGTCACCCAACAAGGTCTCAGATTTAGGTGGTCATCTTAGCCTTAGACTTTGATTGGGTCCTTCTTTAATTAATGTAATATCCTAGTTAAATACTAGCTGCTGTAAAAAACAACCCCCCAAATCTCTCAGTGACTTTTTATTTTTTATTTTATTTTATTATTATTATACTTTTAAGTTTTAGGGTACATGTGCACAATGTGCAGGTTAGTTACATATGTATACACGTGCCATGCTGGTGTGCTGCACCCATTAACTCATCATTTAGCATTAGGTATATCTCCTACAGCTATCCCTCCCCCCTCCCCCAACCCCACAACAGTACCCAGAGTGTGAAGTTCCCCTTCCTGTGTCCATGTGTTCTCATTGTTCAATTCCCACCTCTGAGTGAAAACATTCAGTGTTTGGTTTTTTGTTCTTGTGATAGTTTACTGAGAATGATGATTTCCAATTTCATCCATGTCCCTACAAAGGACATGAACCATCATTTTATGGCTGCATGGTATTCCATGGTGTATATGTGCCACATTTTCTTAATCCAGTCTATCATTGTTGGACATTTGGGTTGGTTCCAAGTCTTTGCTATTGTGAATAGTGCCACAATAAACATATGTGTGCATGTGTCTTTATAGCAGCATGATTTATAGTCCTTTGGGTATATACCCAGTAATGGGATGGCTGGTATTTCTAGTTCTAGATCCCTGAGGAATCGCCACACTGACTTCCACAGGGTTGAACTAGTTTACAGTCCCACCAACAGTGTAAAAGTGTTCCTATTTCTCCACATCCTCTCCAGCACCTGTTGTTTCCTGACTTTTTCATGATCGCCATTCTAACTGGTGTGAGATGGTATCTCATTGTGGTTTTGATTTGCACTTCTCTGATGGACAGTGATGGTGAGCATTTTTTCATCTGTTTTTTGGCTGCATAAATGTCTTCTTTTGAGAAGTGTCTGTTCATGTCCTTCACCTACTTTTTGATGGGGTTGCTTGTTTTTTTTCTTGTAAATTTGTTGGAGTTCATTGTAGATTCTGGATATTAGCCCTTTGTCAGATGGGTAGGTTGTGAAAATTTTCTCCCATTTTGTAGGTTGCCTGTTCACTCTGATGGTAGTTTATTTTGCTGTGCAGAAGCTCTTTAGCTTAATTAGATCCCATTTGTCAATTTGGGCTTTTGTTGCCATTGCTTTTTGTGTTTTAGACATGAAGTCCTTGCCCATGCCTATGTCCTGAATGGTAATGCCTAGGATTCCTTCTAGGGTTTTTATGGTTTTAGGTCTAACATTTAAGTCTTTAATCCACCTTGAATTAATTTTTGTATAAGGTATAAAGAAGGGATCCACTTTCGGCTTTCTACATATGGCTAGCCAGTTTTCCCAGCACCATTTATTAAATAGGGAATCCTTCCCCCATTGCTTGTTTTTCTCAGGTTAGTCAAAGATCAGATACTTGTAGACATGCAGCGTTATTTCTGAGGGCTCTGTTCTGTTCCATTGATCTATATATCTGTTTTGGTACCAGTACCATGCTGTTTTGGTTACTGTAGCCTTGTAGTATAGTTTGAAGTCAGGTAGTGTGATGCCTCCAGCTTTGTTCTTTTGGCTTAGGATTGACTTGGCTATGCGGGCTCTTTTTTGGTTCCATATGAACTTTAAAGTAGTTTTTTTCCAATTCTATGAAGAAAGTCATTGGTAGCTTGATGGGGATGGCATTGAATCTATAAATTACCTTGGGCAGTATGGCCATTTTCATGATATTGATTCTTCCTACCCATGAGCATGGAATGTTCTTCCATTTGTTTGTATCCTCTTTTATTTCATTGAGCAGCAGTTTGTAGTTCTCCTTGAAGAGGTCCTTCACGTCCCTTGTAAGTTGGATTCCTAGGTATTTTATTCTCTTTGAAGCAATTGTGAATGTGAGTTCACTCATGATTTGGCTCTCTGTTTGTCTATTATCAGTGTATAAGAATGCTTGTGATTTTTGTACATTGATTTTGTATCCTGAGACTTTGCTGAAGTTGCTTATCAGCTTAAGGAGATTTTGGGCTGAGACAATGGGGTTTTCTAGGTATACAATCATGTCATCTGCAAACAGGGATAATTTGACTTCCTCTTTTCCTAATTGAATACCCTTTATTTCCTTCTCTTGCCTAATTGCCCCGGCCAGAACTTCCAACACTATGTTGAATAGGAGTGGTGAGAGAGGGAATCCCTCTCTTGTGCCGGTTTTCAAGGGAATGCTTCCAGTTTTTGCCCATTCAGTATGATATTGGCTGTGGGTTTGTCCTAGATAGCTCTTATTATTTTGAGATACGTCCCATCAATACCTAATTTATTGAGAGTTTTTAGCATGAAGCATTGTTGAATTGTGTCAAAGGCCTTTTCTGCATCTATTGAGATAATCATGTGGTTTTTGTCTTTGGTTCTGTTTATATGCTGGATTACATTTATTGATTTGCGTATATTGAACCAGCCTTGCATCCCAGGGATGAAGCCCACTTGATCATGGTGGATAAGCTTTTTGATGTGCTACTGGATTCGGTTTGCCAGTATTTTATTGAGGATTTTTGCATCAATGTTCATCAAGGATATTGGTCTAAAATTCTCTTTTTTGGTTGTGTCTCTGCCCGGCTGTGGTATCAGGATGATGCTGGCCTCATAAAATGAGTTAGGGAGGATTCCCTCTTTTTCTATTGATTGGAATAGTTTCAGAAGGAATGGTACCAGTTCCTCCTTGTACCTCTGGTAGAATTTGGCTGTGAATCCATCTGGTCCTGGACTCTTTTTGGTTGGTAAGCTATTGACTATTGCCACAATTTCAGAGCCTGTTATTGGTCTATTCAGAGAGTCAACTTCTTCCTGGTTTAGTCTTGGGAGGGTGTATGTGTCGAGGAATTTATCCATTTCTTCTAGATTTTCTAGTTTATTTGCATAGAGGTGTTTGTAGTATTTTCTGATGGTAGTTTGTATTTCTGTGGGATCGGTGGTGATATCCCCTTTATCATTTTTTATTGCATCTATTTGATTCTTCTCTCTTTTCTTCTTTACTAGTCTTGCTAGTGGTCTATCAATTTTGTTGATCCTTTCAAAAAACCAGCTCCTGGATTCATTAATTTTTCAAAGGGTTTTTTGTGTCTCTATTTCCTTCAGTTCTGCTCTGATTTTAGTTATTTCTTGCCTTCTGCTAGTTTTTGAATGTGTTTGCTCTTGCTTTTCTAGTTCTTTTAATTGTGATGTTAGGGTGTCAATTTTGGATCTTTCCTGCTTTCTCTTGTGGGCATTTAGTGCTATAAATTTCCCTCTACACACTGCTTTGAATGTGTCCCAGAGATTCTGGTACGTTTTGTCTTTGTTCTCATTGGTTTCAAAGAACATCTTTATTTCTGCCTTCATTTCGTTATGTACCCAGTAGTCATTCAAGAGCAGGTTGTTCAGTTTCCATGTAGTTGAGCGGTTTTGAGTGAGTTTCTTAATCCTGAGTTCTAGTTTGATTGCACTATGGTCTGAGAGACAGTTTGTTGTAATTTCTGATCTTTTACATTTGCTGAGGAGAGCTTTACTTCCAACTATGTGGTCAATTTTGGAATAGGTGTGGTGTGGTGCTGAAAAAATGTATATTCTGCTGATTTGGGGTGGAGGCTTCTGTAGATGTCTATTATGTCCGCTTGGTGCAGAGCTGAGTTCAATTCCTGGATATCCTTGTTGACTTTCTGTCTCATTGATCTGTCTAATGTTGACAGTGGGGTGTTAAAGTCTCCCATTATTATTGTGTGGGAGTCTAAGTCTCTTTGTAGGTCACTCAGGACTTGCTTTATGAATCTGGATGCTCCTGTATTGGGTGTATGTATATTTAGGATAGTTAGCTCTTCTTGTTGAATTGATCCCATTACCATTATATAATGGCCTTCTTTGTCTCTTTTGATCTTTGTTGGTTTAAAGTGTGTTTTATCAGAGACTAGGATTGCAACCCCTGCCTTTTTTTTTGTTTTCCATTTGCTTGGTAGATCTTCCTCCATCCTTTTATTTTGAGCCTCTGTGTGTCTCTGCACATGAGATGGGTTTCCTGAATACAAAACACTGATGGGTCTTGACTCTTTATCCAATTTGCCAGTCTGTGTCTTTTAATTGGAGCATTTAGTCCATTTACATTTAAAGTTAATATTGTTATGTGTGAATTTGATCCTGTCATTATGATGTTAGCTGGTTATTTTGCTCATAAGTTGATGCAGTTTCTTCCTAGCCTTGATGGTCTTTACAATTTGGCATGATTTTCCATTGGCTGTTACTGGTTGTTCCTTTCCATATTTAGTGCTTCCTTCAGGACCTCTTTTAGGGCAGGCCTGGTGGTGACAAAATCTCACAGTATTTGCTTGTCTGTAAAGTATTTTATTTCTCCTTCACTTATGAAGCTTAGTTTGGCTGGATATGAAATTCTGGGTTGAAAATTCTTTTCTTGAAGAATGTTGAATATTGGCCCCCACTCTCTTCTGGCTTGTAGAGTTTCTGCCTAGAGATCCGCTGTTAGTCTGATGGGCTTCCCTTTGAGGGTAACGTGACCTTTCTCTCTGGCTGCCCTTAACATTTTTTCCTTCATTTCAACTTTGGTGAATCTGACAATTATGTGTCTTGGAGTTGCTCTTCTCGAGGAGTATCTTTGTGGCGTTCTCTGTATTTCCTGAATCTGAATGTTGGCCTGCCTTGCTAGATTGGGGAAATTCTCCTGGAAAATATCCTGCAGAGTGTTTTCCAACTTGGTTCCATTCTCCCCCTCACTTTCAGGTATACCAATCAGACGTAGATTTGGTCTTTTCACATAGTCCCATATTTCTTGGAGGCTTTGTTCATTTCTTTTTATTCCTTTTTCTCTAAACTTCCCTTCTCACTTCATTTCATTCATTTCATCTTCCATCACTGATACCCTTTCTTCCAGTTGATCGCATCGCCTCCTGAGGCTTCTGCATTCTTCATGTATTTCTCGAGTCTTGGCTTTCAGCTCCATCAGTTCCTTTAAGCAATTCTCTGTATTGGTTATTCTAGTTATACATTCATCTAAATTTTTTTCAAAGTTTTCATCTTCTTTGCCTTTGGTTTGAATTTCCTCCTGTAGCTCGGAGTAGTTTGATCTTCTGAAGCCTTCTTCTCTCAACTCATCAAAGTCATTCTCCATCCAGCTTTGTTCCATTGCTGGTGAGGAACTGCGTTCCTTTGGAGGAGGAGAGGTGCTCTGCTTTTTAGAGTTTCCAGTTTTTCTACTCTGTTTTTTCCCCATCTTTGTGGTTTTATGTACTTTTGGTCTTTGATGATGGTGATATACAGATGGGGTTTTGGTGTGGATGTCCTTTCTGTTGGTTTTCTTTCTAACAGACAGGACCCTCAGCTGCATGTCTTTTGGAGTTTGCTAGAGGTCCACTCCAGAACCTGTTTGCATGGGTACCAGCAGCAGTGGCTGCAGAACATTGGATTTTCGTGAACCGCGAATGCTGCTGTCTGATCCTTCCTCTGGAAGTTTTGTCTCAGAGGAGTACCCGGCCGTGTGAGGTGTCAGTCTGCCCCTACTGGGGGGTGCCTCCCAGTTAGGCTGCTTGGGGGTCAGGTGTCAGCGACCCACTTGAGGAGGCAGTCTGCTTGTTCTCAGATCTCCAGCTGTGTGCTAGGAGAACCACTTCTCTCTTCAAAGCTGTCAGACAGGGACATTTAAGTCTGCAGAGGTTACTGCTGTCTTTTTGTTTGTCTGTGTCCTGCCCCCAGAGGTGGAGTCTACAGAGGCAGGCAGACTTCCTTGAGCTGTGGTGGGCTCCACCCAGTTCGAGCTTCCTGGCTGCTTTGTTTACCTAAGCAAGCCTGGGCAATGGCGGGCACCCCTCCCCCAGCCTCACTGCAGCCTTGCAGTTTGATCTCAGACTGCTGTGCTAGCAATCAGCGAGACTCCGTGGGCATAGGACCCTCTGAGCCATGTGAGGGATATAATCTCCTGGTGCACCATTTTTTAAGCCCATCAGAAAAGCGCAGTATTGGGGTGGGAGTGACCTGATTTTCCAAGTGCTGTCTGTCACCCTTTTCTTTGACTAGGAAAGGGAACTCCCTGACCCCTTGCCCTTCCTGAGTGAGGCAATGCCTTGCCCTGCTTCGGCTCGTGCATGGTGCACTGCACCCACTGTCCTGCACCCCCTGTCTGGCACTCCCTAGTGAGATGAACCCGGTACCTCAGATGGAAATGCAGAAATCACCCATCTTCTGCATCGCTCATGCTGGGAGCTGTAGACTGGAGCTGTTCCTATTTGGCCATCTTGGCTCCAAGCCCCTCAGTGACTTAATAATAGTGCAGTTTGTTTCTCTCTCACGTCAGGTAAACAGGTTATTTTGATTAGCACTCTTTTAAACCTTGTCTCAGAGATTTAAATTATTTTCGTCTGATCCTCCATCCATCCTAAAGATTGCCTGGGACATTTAGTAAGCCAAAACTTGGTCAAATTGTCTTGGCCCTATGGCAAGGAAGATAGGGGGATGTAGTCTTTCTGTGTCAAGGAAGAGAAAACAAGATTATTTAGCCAGTCTCTCTCCATTTTAGGATGGAGCAAAGTTGGAGTGGAAATAGACACACCCTGGCTTTCTGCAAAACAGAATACTTCAGTCTCAAACTCCCTGAAAGTCTCTGCAGTCAGAAAGTACACCAAGCAGTATTGTCTGTTCTTTGTGTCTTTCATCAGGTTCTGAACAATCTGCCACCACCTCCCTCACAAAGACTGATCTTGTTTTCCTAAGGCATTTGTTTTCCTATGTATGTTTCTGTAAGAGACAAAGGTATATGATAACATTACAGCAAAAAAGCTATTGATTGTGTATATCCAGAAAGCAATCAGAACCACATCCATATATTTTAAATGGTACATAATTTTCTAGAATATATAGGTGTATATATATGCATGTATGTGTATAAAATGTATGCATAAGAATAGCTCAAAATAAGTGTCTTAATTTTACAGATTTTAATATTTTTAAAATTAATTTGTTTCCTATAGAAAAAAGAGAAATTTCTAGGCTTAAGAGCCTTTGTGTATTTTACTAACAAGTAATGAAAAAGGTAAACTCACTTAATTGCTAAATAAAACACATTGCTTATAACAGAATATATTAATAAACAACCATGCCCCTTGCCTTAGGTTATCACCCATGATTGTAACGCTATAGCAAAAAATAATATTAGGAATGAATGTATCAATTACTTTGGGAAGTATGGCCATTTTCACAATATTGATTCTTTCAATCCATGAACATGGAATGTTTTTCCATTTGTTTCTGTCCTCTCTTATTTCCTTGAGCAGTTCTCCTCAAAGTTTGTAGTTCTTCTTGAAGAAGTCCTTCGCATCCCTTGTAAGCTGTATTCCTAGTTATTTTATTCTCTTTGTAGCAATTGTAAATGGAAGTTCACTCATGATTTGGCTGTTAGTCTATTATTGGTGTATAGGAATGCTAATGATTTTTGCACATTGATTTTGTTTCCTGAGACTTTGCTGATGTTGCTTATCAACTTAAGAAGTTTTTGGGCTGAGACGATGGGGTTTTCTAAATATACAATCATGTCATCTGCAAAGAGAGACAATTTGACTTCCTCTCTTCCTATTTGAATACCCTTTATTCTCTCTCTTGCTTGATTGCCCTGGCCAGAACTTCCAATCTATGTTGAATAGGAGTGGAGAGAGGACATCCTTGTCTTGTGTCAGTTTTCAAAGGGAATGCTTCCAGCTTTTGCCCATTCAGTATGATATTGGCTTTGGGTTTGTCATAAATACCTCTTATTATTTTGAGATACATTCCATCAATACCTCATTTATTGAGAGTTTTTAGCATGAAGGGGTGTTGAATTTTATTGAAGGCCTTTTCTTCATCTGTAGAGATAATCATGTGGTTTTTGTCATTGGTTCAGTTTATGTGATGGATTACGTTTATTGATTTGTGTACATGGAACCAGCCTCGCATCCCATGGATGAAGCCGACTTGATTGTGGTATAAGCTTTTCTATGTGTTGCTGGATTCAGTTTGCCTGTATTTTATTGAGGATTTTCACATCGATGTTCATCAGGGATATTGGACTGAATTTTTCTTTTGTTGTTGTGTCTCTGCCAGTATGGTATCAGGTTGATGCTGGCCTCACAAAATGAGTTAGAGAGGAGTCCCTCTATCTCTATTGTTTAGAATAGTTTCAGAAGGAATGGTACCAGCTCTTCTTTGTACCTGTGGTAGAATTTGGCTGTGAATCCATCTGGTCCTGGGCTTTTATTCGTTGGTAGGCTAGTAATCACTGCCCCAATTTCAAAACTTGTTATTGGTCTATTCAGGGGTTCAACTTCTTCCTGGTTTAGTCTTCGGAGGCTGTATGTGTCCAGGAATTTATCAATTTCTTCTAGATTTTCTAGTTTATTTGTGTAGAGGTGTTTATAGTATTCTCTGGTGGTAGTTTATGTTTCTATAGGATCAGAAGTGATCTCCCCTTTATCATTTTTTATTGTGTCTATTTGATTCTTCTCTCTTTTCTTCTTTATTAGTCTGGCTAGTGGTCTATTTTGTTAATCTTTTCAAAAAAACAGCTCCTGGATTCTTTGATTTTTTGAAGGGTTTTTTTTTTTTGCATCTCTATTTCCCTAATTTCTGCTCTGATCTTAGTTATTTCTTGTCTTCTGGTAGCTTTTAAATTTGTTTGCTCTTGCTTCTCTAGTTGTTTTAATTTTGATGTTAGTGTGTCCATTTTACATCTTTCCCGCTTTCTCCTGTGGGCATTTAGTGCTATAAGTTTCCTTCCAAACACTGCTTTAGCTGTGTCCCAGAGATTCTGGTACATTGTGTCTTTGTTCTCACTGGTTTCAAATGACTTATTTATTTTTGCCTTGATTTCCTCATTTACCTACTAGTCATTTAGGAGCAGGTTGTTCAGTTACCTTTTAGTTGTGTGGTTTTGAGTTGAGTTTGTTAATCCTGAGTTTCAATTTGGTTGAACTGTGGTCTGAGACATTGTTTGTTATGATTTCCGGTCTTTTTCATTTGCTGAGGAGTGTTTCACTTCCAATTATGTGGTCAATTTTAGAATAAGTGTTATGTGGTGCTGAGAAGTATGTATATTCGGTTGGTTTGGGGTGGTGAGTTCTGTAGATATCTATTAGGTCCACTTGATCCAGAGCTGAGTTCAAGTCCTGAATATCTTTGTTAATTTTCTGTCTCATTGATCTGTCTAATATCAAGCTACTATTGACTTTCTTCACATAATTAGAAAAATCTTCTTTAAATTTTATATGGAACCAGAAAAGAGCGCACATAGCCAAGACAATCCTAAGCAAAAAGAAGAAAACTGGAGTCATCATGCTACCTGACTTCAAACTATACTACAAGACTATAGTAACCAAAACAGCATGGTACTGGTACCAAAACAGAGATATAGACCAATGGAACAGAACAGAGACCTCAGAAATAACATCACACATCTACAACCATCTGGTCTTTGACTAACCTGGCAAAAAAAAAAAAAAAGCAATGCAGAAAGGATTCCCTATTTAATAAATGGTGTTGGGAAAACTGGCTAGCCATATGCAGAAAACTGAAACTCAATCCCTTCCTTACACCTTATACAAAAATTAACTCAAGGTGGATTAAAGACTTAAAGATAAGACCTAAAACCACAAAAACCCTAGAAGAAAACCTAGGCAATACCATTCAGGACATAGGCATGGGCAAAGACTTCATGATTAAACAACAAAAGCAATGACAACAAAAGCCAAAATTGACAAATGGGATCTAGTTAAACCAAAGAGCTTCTGCACAACAAAAGGAGCTATCATCAGAGTGAACAGGCAACCTACAGAATGGGAGAAAATTTTTGCAATCTATCCAACTGACAAAGGGCTAATATCCAGAATCTACAAGGAACTTAAACAAATTTACAAGAAAAAACAACCCCACCAAAAAGTGGGCAAAGGATATGAACAGACACTTCTAAAAAGAAGACATTCATGCACCCAACAAACATATGAAAAAAAGCTCTTCTTCACTGGTCATTAGAGAAATGCAAATTAAAACCACAATGAGATACCATTTCATGCCAGTTAGAATGGCAATCATTAAAAAATCAGGAAACCACAGATGCTGGAGAGGATGTGGAGAAAGAGGAACGCTTTTACATCATTGGTGGGAGTGTAAATTAGTTCAACCATTGTGGAAGACAGTGTGGTGATTCCTCAAGGTTCTAGAACCAGAAATATCATTTGACCCAGCAATCCCATTACCGAGGATACACCCAAAGGATTACAAATCGTTCTACTAGGAAGACACATGCATACGTCTGTTAATTGCAACACTATTCACAATAGCAAAGACTTGGAACCAACCCAAATGTCCATCAATGATAGACTGGATAAAGAAAATGTGGCACATATACACTATGGAATAGTATGCAGCCATAAAAAAGGATGAGTTTATGTCCTTTGCCAGGACATGGATGAAGCTGGTAACCATCATTCTCAGCAAGCTAACAAAGGAACAGAAAACCAAACACTGCATGTTTTCACCTATAAGCGAGAGTTGAATAATGAGAACACATGGAAACAGGTAGGGGAACATCGCACACCAGGGCCTTTTGGGGGGTGGGTGGCTAGGTGAGGGATAGCATTAGGAGAAATACCTAATGTAGATAATGGGTTGATGGGTGCAGCAAACCACCACAGCACGTGTATACCTATGTAATAAACCTGCATGTTCTGCACATGTATCCCAGAACTTCAAATATAATTAAAAAAATTAGGAATGCCATTCTTACTCTGCCAAGCATAAAAGGATAAATACCTACATATTTCATGTATCTATATACCTGGACTCAAGAAAACTCTTATGCCAATTCCATTGATTCAGTGCAAGTCTAGATATCACTGAGTTGACATGTAAGACTAGAAAACACCTACAGAATATGTCAAAAATCGTTGTTAAGGGCATGTATTCAGACAGTTTTCAGGGGAACTCAATTTTAGCATCTCTCTCCTTTCTGTGGTTATTTGTCCCTGGGGGAAAGTTAGGAGGTATTCTCATTTGATCTCGTGATTACTCAGAGGGTGATTCATTTGGCAGAGAATTAGAACTAACAGGTCTATTCCTCATGTTTAAAATCTGTTTTCTTATGTGGAAAGCAAATTCTTCAAGGTTGACTCACAAGGGAGCTAGCTTGAGGCAATCTGTGGCCTTATAGCACCACACAGCACTAAACAGCTTAACTCTGGTTTGAGTGCAAACAAGAACACATTTTTCTCTATGCAAATATTCCATTAGGACACAGACTGTATTGACCTCAGTTGTTTAGATTACAGGTGAAAGCCAAACACCAGAGCTAATCTTGTGAATCAGCATGAAAGGCTCTAAGTGTAATTCTCACAGTAGTTGGGAAGTCTCCTGCTCCACAACACCTCCCTCATTAACCTCTCATAGGAACCAAAGTTGCACCATAACACATTTATTCCTTTCAAATATAAAGGTTTGCAGACTTTCAGAGTTTCCAATAAAATTAGTTTTGAGAAAAAGGGAGAAACAGAAATTAATGCTTTGCTTTTCTAATTGCCTTCTTTGGAACTCTAGTATCTCAATATATTCCTTATAAAAAGGGTTTCCGTGGCCAAATAAGTTTGGAAATCTTGCACATTATAGTCCACTCTTCGATCCTCAACATGACTTGCAAGGTATGGAGTACATTAAATCTTTTAAGGAGTGTTTTAGTAAATATATATGTTTACTTTTTTTTTTACTCAGTATTCCTCAAACATATTTGGTTTTGAAATCCTATTTTCATGAAATTCCCACTAACAACAACCTGCAGAGCTAATGTTTTGGGCAATATACATTGGGAAATCCCAGCATAAAACATTCTCTGCTGAGTCCTCACATGGTTTGTTAACAGTGTATTGAGCATGGAGTCCTGATTTTTCCAGAAAATTACATGGGTAAAGGTGACAAAGACAGTCAGGAGCAAGATAAGGATTCAAAAAGGGGTATTAAGAACAATACTAAAGACATATTTATGCCTCTTTTGCATGTTTTCCTCAGGCTGGTATTGAGAATATTCCCTATTTTCAACATGATCAGAGCACTATATATATATATTTTTCTCATACAAACGATGCACTTAAATTATAGAAAATACCATAAAGCAAAGCTTGTAAACCTTGTCTATGCATTAGAATCAAAGTATTTCCTTTTTTTTTGTTTTGATACAGATGTTTGGGGCCCACTCTAGAATTATAAAATCAAAATGTCTGGGGATGGGGCCTTGTTCTTTCTCTCTCAGTGTTGATGTTTATGTGTGTGTGTGTGTACGCCAGTGTTATTCAATCCAATGTTACTCAAATGTACAACTAAATTAATTTATAAAAATACATAGAAATAAAACTAATAAAATTAAATTTAAATTACCTATAATTCCATTGTCCATAATCTCATCATCCAGAGATCAATTTTAATATTTTGACATATTTAATTTCAATATTGCGTAGACCTCTATATAAATTTGAATACACACACAAAGATGGCATATAAAACATAGTGGATCTTTTAGTGTATTTACAGGTTTTTATCTCATTTTATTCATTTAACATTATAGTGTGAACATCTTTTCATGCCATTTAAAATGCTTCAGAAATACCATTTTAATAGCTGCATAATACTTCACAGTATAAAGGTTTTATAATTTATTTAACCAATTATTTTTGTGAATATTTACCATTTTTTTGGCCTGTGATGACAGTATTTTTTTTTTTTTTTGAGACTGAGTCTCGCTCTGTCACCCAGCCTAGAGTGCAGTGGTGTGATCTCAGCCCACTGCAAGCTCCACCTCCCGGCTTCACACCATTCTCCTTCCTCAGCCTCCCAAGTAGCTGGGACTACAGTCACCAGCCACCATGCCTGGCTAATTGTTTTTTTTTTTTTTTTGGTATTATTTTTTAGTAGAGACGGGGTTTCACCATGTTAGCCAGGATGGTCTCGCTCTCCTGATCTCGTGATCCACCCACCTCGGCCTCCCAGAGTTCTGGGATTACAGGAGTGAGCCACCGCGCCCGGTGATGACAGTATTTTTATATAAATTCTAATCAAATTACTGATCTTACAAATAACACTGATTGAAGTAGAATTATTACTGGGAAATTCTAAAGCCTTCTACGTACATTATACAATTATCTTCCAAAAGAATTGTGCCACTTGACACACTCAATTTTTCTCATTTTCCTTTATTTTAGATAACCGTATTTAAGCAAAATTTATCTCAGACTTAGAAAGGGTTCCTTAATCTGTGGTTTGTGAACCATCCCCAAACTCCATGGATGACTAGAGGCAATACGAATGGAGTTAAGCTATTCTATGAATCCTCTACAATCAAATGCAAAATTGGGAATGTCTGTATGGACATTTTTCTAGGAAGTGCATTGACATTGTTTATCAGCTTCTCAAAGTGCGCTGTGAAACAGAAATCACTGGTCTGAAAAATCACTTGAGTTCCTTGCTTGAAGACGTTAAGTATTAAAGCATATTGGACAATTGCCCATGTCAGAGAGTGTTTTCATTAATAGAAACCTCAAACAAGAGGCATTTGATTAACTGAGCTTATAAAAAGAGATGAATCTCTCATAGGCTCATATCTCCTCCTTGTGTGAGAAATCATCTGCTTTCTCTTTCTATATATATGAGGCTAGTCATAGAAATACTATTATCTGGTTCCAAGTTTAATAGTCCTTATTTCCCCTATTAGCTAAGAATCCTTTGCTGGCCAGATAGACAATTTGGAAAGGTCTGCTTTAATTTTCATGAACGTCCATTTTATACTGTTACTTTCTATTAACGAAGCCATCTTACTGTTCAAATTATTTTATTTCTAGTAATTTTGTGGCAAAATATCACTTTTTGGATAAAACAGTGGATATTTTAAAGGAGTAGAGCTGATCAGTCCACTTAATTTTCTAAAAGGAAAAGTAATTCTCTCAGCTGTTTATTGCTACATAAAAATATATCCCAAAACTTACTATCTTAAAACAGTAAAAGTCATTTACTTACTCACGATTCTGGAATTTGGGTAGGGCTCAGAAGGGACAGATAGTCTCTGTTCTACATAGTATTGGCTTGAGAAGCTCAACTCTAGATGGAAGATACAAAATGGTCTTACTCATATATTTAGTGCCTCAGCTCGGTTGTGTGGAATGATTGTGGGCTACCTTGGACTCTCTCTTTCCCAGTGTAGTCTCTAGTTTTCCAGGACCTGTTTTTCTCAAAATAGCTTTTCTCTTTAGCAGGGTACACCTACTTCTTTGTATGATGGCTAGCTCCTAAGAGGGGGAATCAGAAGCTACTAAGAGTCTTACAGGTTAGGTTTAAAACTGGTACAGAGTCACTTCCACTGCAGTCTGTTGATCAAAGGAAGTCACAAGGCTACCTAATATCAAGAAGAAAGGAAAATAGACTCCACCCCTTGAATGGCGAAACAGCATGAGAGTACGAGAGAACAGAATGGATTTTTTTTAATTTTTTTTTATTTTTATTTTTGCAGCAATTGCATCACAGAAACCTCTGAGTAAAGTAGATGGATGGAGGTACTCAGAGGGGAAGACCTGGCTCTGTTTTCTCTTTTTTAGGGTAAATCCCAGACATTATTCTGGTATTCTTTCTCTCCAGTATCAAAAGGGTCAGTCATTTTAGCAGGGAAAAATGCTACGTAGTTGTTTAAAATCACATAGACTTTACAAATCATATTCATCAGAGCACAAGTGTTTTCAATAGGTCTCAATTAATGGACTGTGTAAGAAAAAAAATCATCAAATATATTTAAGAAACAGCTGAATATTCCACTCCTATCCTGGGTGTTTATATCACACACTAATATATTAAATACTTTGATAAATTTTAGAGTAAGAACAACTGTTGTACAGTTTTAAACTCAGCATTTCTCAAGCTTTTAAAATACAATTCCTTTTTATCTTGGGGTATTTAATAATATCTCAAAAGACACTACTGTTTTAAAGAGACTCTGATATAGACACAGTTTCAGCTACAACAGATGTTTAAGAAACCTTTCTGTGACCTGATCAACTGTTGGCCATATTTAAGTTTTTGTCTGTAAGTGGAAGAGAAAGTGGCTTCAGAAAGTTTTCCTATTTTGTTTGTTTGTTTGGTTGATTGATTTGGTTTTATTCTACTGGATTCCAAGTGTCTAGAGTATTGTCAGATTTTTATTGCCACTAATGGTTACCTGAAGTATTAATATCATTTTTTTTTGAGATGGAGTCTTGCTCTGTCGCCCAGGCTGGAGTGGAGTGGCACTATCTTGGCTCACTGCAAGCTCTGCCTCTCAGGTTCATGCCATTCTCCTGCCTCAGCCTCCCGAGTAGCTGGGACTACAGGTGCCTGCCACCACGCCCAGCTAATTTTTTTTTTTTTTAGTAGGGATGGAGTTTCACCATATTAGCCAGGCTGGTCTCGAACTCCTGACCTCAGGTGATCCACCCACCTCGGTCTCCCAAAGTGCTGGGATTACAGGTGTGAGCCACGTATTAATATCATTTTTAATAGAGATTTGGCAGTGCACAAAGTGTCCTTAAATATACATGAACATTGAGAAGTATAAATCAACAGTTTTTCCATTATGTAGGACTACATGTAGGGAAGTGGAGTCGTGAGTGTGTTTGTGTGTGTGTGTAAGTACAATATCTGTTAGTGCACCCTGTTCCATTTTCTCCAGGGCCTTGCCCCTGCCCCCTGGGGGGCTATATTTTGAGCACTCAATAGGACCAGGGGGACAGAAGAGAAATGATCTAAGCATTACATACCAAAGAGTTTCCGAAAGTAAGGACATAAGGAGGAAAGTGGGTAATAGATGTAAAAGTAACTGACTAGAGGAAATGCAAAGAGGGAAGCTAAACACTAAAATCTGGAGTTTGATGGCAGCCTAGGTTGGGAGAGTGCAGATACTATTGTCCAATCAGGTTTCTTAGTGGCAAACGACAGGAAGTTACTTTGATCATTATAGGCAGAAAAGGGCTGCAAAATTGGATAATCAGACTTGGGAGAACAGGCAAGTACCAAAAGAAGCCAGGTGGCAGGAATTACAAATTAGGCCATACCATTTGAGCAGCATGATTAAGATATCACTGCCACTGTTGTTAAACACTGGATGTTGCTACCTCCGCCACTGAAAAGAATGATAAGTTGTTCTTGCTCTTTTTATATTACTCATTATGGTTTGTTAGCTTAAATTGTTAGAGTAATTTTCCATTAACTTTTACCACTGCATATATTTTTTTGAGAAAAAAAATACAAGATATCACTTGAATTCTGACCATATTTTTTCTCCGTAACCATTGAGTAGTAGGTGTCTGGATCAATAATTTTAGCCAAAATCATAACTATATATTTTTTGCCTGCTTACCTATCCAGTGACATGGAAAATATTAAATGTTCAGATAGATACTTCCTCTTTTAATTCAGTGCACTCACTACGAATAATGGTAGAAGACTTCCTTCTAAAGTACAAAACTATTTTTTAAATAATTCATTGAGGTGAGGTTTATGTAACATAAAATTAACCATTATTAAAAACAACTCAGTGGCATCTATTACATTCACAACTTCATGCAATCACCACCTCTATATAGTTCTGAAATATTTCTGTCACTCCAAAGGAAAAAACCTCACCCATTAAGCAGTTTCTCCCAATTCTCCCCTGTCCCAGGGCCCTGGAAACCACCATTTGTATGCCCTCTATATGAATTTTTTCATCCTCTAATAGATATTTCATGTAAATAGAATCATACAATATGTGATCTTTTATGCCTGGCTTCTAATATTTAGCATATCGTTTTGGAGATTCATCCATGCTTTAACTGGTATCAGAGATTAACTTACTTATATGGCTAAATAATATTCCCTTGTGTGTACATAACACAATTCGTCTTTCATTGTTCTATTCATAAACAGTTGGGATGTTTCTACATTTTGGCTATTGTAAATAGTGCTGCTATGAAGATGCCTTTACATGCACTTGTTTGAGTATCTATTTTAAATTATTTTAGTGTACAGCTATAAGTAGAATTACTGGGTCATGTGGTAATTCTATGCTCAACTTTTGGAGGAACTACCAAATTATTTTCCACAGTGAGAAAACCATTTGACATTCTGATAGCAATGTATGAGTGTTCCAAATTTTCCACATTTCTGTCAACACTTACTTTCATTGCTTTATAGCTATCCTAATGGGAGTAAAACAGTATCTGCTTGTGATATTGATTTGCATTTTCCTAATGACTAATGATATTGAGCATCTTTTATGTTTTAGTCCCATTTTTAATTGGAATGTTTGTCTTATTTTTCTTTATATATTCTTGATACTAGATTCTTAATTGGTATTACAAATGTTTTCTTTTATTCTGTTGGTTTTCACTTTGTTGATAATGTCCTTTCATGCACAAATTTTTAAATTTTGATAAAGTCCAAATTATCTATTTGTTTCTTTTGTTGCTCATGCTTTTGGTGTCATATCTAAAAAACCATTGCCAAATCCAAAGCCATGAAGACTTACCCCTATGTTTTCTTCTAATGGATTTTTATTATTTTAACTCTTAAAATTGGGTCATTGATACATTTCAAGTTAATTTTTATATCTGCTGTGGCATAGGTGTCTACTTTGGCAAGTGAATATGCAGCTCTCTTATGAAAATTTGTTAAACACACTGTTATTTCCCCCATTGAATGAACTTGGCATTGTTGTTGAAAATCAATGGTAATTGATATATGAGTGGATTCTGGATAGTCAGTTCTAGTCCGTAGGTCTAGATGTCTGTCCTATGCCAGTTACCTTTGGGGTATGTTTTGAAATTAAGAAATGTGATTCTTCCAACTTTACTGTCCCTTCTTAAGACTGTTTTGGCTATTCAGGCACCCTTACAATTCTATGTGATTTTAATGATCAGTTTTATTCATTTTTGGAAAAAAAGGCATTGAGATGTTGATAGAGACATTGACTATAGATTTATTTGGGTTTTATTGATATCTTAACAATATTAAGTCTTTCAATCCATGAGAACAGAATTTCTTTTCATTTATTTAGGTCTTTAACATCTTTCAGCAATGTTGTGTTGTTGTTTCCATACAAGTGTTTCCATGTCTTAGTTACATTTGTTACTAAATTTTAACAATTTAAAACTTTTTTAAATTGTAAAAAGAAATTTTAAAAACTTATTTCTTGGATTGTTTATTGCTGGTGCATAGAAACTGAACTGATTTTGTATACTGATCTTGTACCCTGGAACTTTGCATAAATTCTTAATTATATTAAAAAGTTTTTTTTAGTGGATATTTCAAGATTTGTGGACACACTAAGTTACTTCTTTCTTTATAATTTGGAAGCTTTTAATTTTTTTTATTGCCCTGCCTAATTGCTCTGTCTAGAAATTCTGTGCAATATTAAATGGAAGAGATAAAAATGGACATCTTTGTCTTGTCCCTGATCTTAGGAGGAAAACTTTCAGTATGACATCATTGAATAGGATGTTAGCCATGGGTTTTTGAAAAAAGCCCTTTATTATGTTGAGAAAATTTCCTTACAGTATTAGTTTTCCGTGTGTTTTTATCATGAAAAGTTGTTTAATGCTGTCAAATGATTGTTGTCTGTCACTCAGGATGATCATGTGCTTTTTTGTTCTTCATTCTATTAATTTTCTTAAGTTAAAACATCCTTGTATTCCTGGGATAAATTTAACTTAGTTATGGTGATATTATCCTCTTTACATGCTTTTGAGTCTTTTTTCAAGTATATTTTGAGGAATTTGTATCTATATTCATAAGTGATATTGATGGGTAATTTTCTGTGATGACTTTACCTGGTTTTTGCATCAGAATAATGACAGCCTGGCCAGGTGCGGTGGCTCGCACCTGTAATCCCAGCATTTTGGGAGGCCAAGGTGGGCAGATCACAAGGTCAGAAGTTCAAGATCAGCCTGGCCAGTATGGTGAAACCTCATCTCTACTAAAAATACAAAAATTAGCTGGGCATGGTGGCAGGCGCCTATAATACCAGCTACTTGGGAGGCTGAGGCAGGAGAATCACTTGAACCCAGTAGGCTGAGATTACAGTGAGCCGAGATCACACCACTGCACTCCAGCCTGGGCAATAGTGTGAGACTCAGTCTCAAAAAAAAAAAAAAAAAAAAGATTGCCTCATGAAATTAGTTAGAAAGTAGAAAGTAGTCCCTTCTCTTGTATCATTTGCAAAAGATTAATAAGGATTGGCAATAATTCTTTAAATGTTTGATAGTATTTACCAGGAAAGCCACATGTTTCTGGGCTTTACTTTGGGAACAAGAAAAGGGAGTTAGTACTGATTCAGTTATTTATTATTGGACTCTTCAGATTTTCCATTTCTTCTCGAGTCAGTTTTAACAAATTATGTCTTTCTAAGAATTTGTCCACTTCATCTAGGTCATCTATTTTGCTTACATACTGTTATACACAGTATTGTCTTACAATTGATTTTTATATCTGTAGAGTCCCAATAGTAATGCTCCCAACATCATTTCTTATTTTACTCATTTGTATCTTTTTTCCCTTTTTTTCAACCAGTCTAGCTAGAGATTTGTCATTTTTGTTGGTCTTCTCAAAGAACCAACTTTTGGTTGCACTGATTTTCTCTATTGTTTTTCCATTACCTATTTCACTTATCTCAGCTATAATTTTTTTTATTCTATCCTTGGGTTTAACTTGCACTTCTATTTTTTTTAGTTCCTTAATCTGCATAGTTAGGGTACTAACTTGAGACCTTTATTTTTGCTTAATGTAGGCATTTACTGCTGTAAAATTCCCTCTGAGTCCTGCCTTTACTAAATCTCATAAGTTTTGATATGTTTGTTTTAGTTTTTATTGATTTCTAAGTGTTTTCCTTTCCTTTTCCTTTTCCTCTTTCCTTTCTTTTTCTCTTTTTCTTTTTCTTTCTTTCTTTCTTTCTTTCTTTCTTTCATTTCTTTCTCTTTCTTTCTTCTCTTTCTTTTCCTTCTTTCTTTCTCTCTTTTCTTTCTTTCTCTTTCTTTCTTTCTTTCATTCATTCTTTCTTTCTTTCTTCTTTCTTCTATTTCTTTTTCTTTCTTTCCATTCTTTCTTTCTTTCTTCTTCTTCTTTTTTTTTAATAGGGTCTTTCTCTGGCACGATCTAGGCTCACTGCAACCTCCACCTCCTGGATTCAAGAGATTCTCTCACCTCAGCCTCCCGAGTACCTAGGATTACAGGTTCCTGCCACCAAGCCTGGCTTGTATTTTTAATAGAGACGAGGTTTCACCATGTAGGCAAAGCTGGTCTTAAACTCCTGACCTCAAGTGACCCACCCACCTCAGCCTTCCAAAGTGCTGGGATTATAGGCATGAGCTACCCCACCTGGCCTCGATCTGTAAGTGTTTTCTAATTTCCCTTGTGAATACTTTTTTTGACCCATTGGTTGTTCAAGACTATGTTGTTTAATTTTGACATATGTGTGAATTTTTTACTTATACTTCTATAATTCATTTCTAGCTTCATTCCATTGTGGCCGGAGAAGATACTCTGTATGATATCTACCTAAAATCTGTAGAGGCTTGTTTTGTGTTCTAAAATGTGGTTTATCCTAGAGAATATTCCATTTGCTTCTGAGAGAATTGTGTATCTGCTATTGTACTATGAATGTTTGATATATGTCTATTAGATCTGATTGGTTTATACTGTTAGTCAAGTTCACTAACTCTTCCCCAACCTACTATCTATTCATTATGAAAAATAGGGCGTTGAAGTTTCCAATTATTATAACTCTCTTTTCTGCCTTCAAATTTGTCAATGTTTACTTTATGTATCTTGTGACTCTGAAGTTTGGTGCAAATATATTTATAATTGTTATATTTTCTTACTATAGTGACTCTTACAATATACAATGTATTTATTTGATCTTGCAATAGATCTTGCCTTAAATCTATTTTGGCTGAGATTAATATAGTACTCTAGTTCTCTGTTGGTTGCTATTTTCATGACTTTTTTTTTATTCTTTCACTTTCCACCTATTTGTAGTTATAATCTAAAGTGAATCTTGTAGACAGCATACGGTTGGATCATGTTTTAATGTAACTCAATTCTGCCAATTTCTGACTTTTGATTTAAGAGTTTAATTCATTTCCAAAAATATAATGTTAAGGAAAGATTTATTTCTGCTGTTTTGCTATTTATTTTCTCTGTGTGTTATACCTTTTTTGTTTCTCATTGTCTCCAATACGTTTTTATGTTTAGTTGATTTTGTTAAATGTATCATTTGTTATCTTCTCATTTCCTTTTGAGTGCATTTTTCAGATATTTTCCTAATGGTTACCATGGGAATCACAATTAACATCTTACATTTATAACAATCCAGATTCAATTGAGACCAACTTAGCTTCATTAGCAAACATTTTGCTTCTAATAAGATCTGCTCCTCCATTATGTTGATGTCACAAATCATGTATTTTGTATTGTATGCCCAATATAATTATTTTTTATGGATTTTTCTTTTATATTATTAAAGAGATAAAAAGTTCAATTATAAACCAAAATATAGTAATGTTGGCTTTCAGTGGAGATTTTTTATTTCTTTGTACAACTTCTAGTTACTGACTTTTTGTTTCAACTTTACGGTCCATCTTTAGCTTTTTGTGGAAAGGTGGTCTGTTGGTAACAATCTTCCTCAGATTTTGTTAAACCTGAAAATGTTTTTATTTCTTCTGTATTTCTTAAAAAATTGGTAAAATACATATAAACTCTACCATCTTAACCTTTTTTATGAGTACAATTTATTAGCATTAGGTACATTTATATTACTGAGCAACTGTCACCACTATCCATCTTGAAACATTTTTCATCTTGCAAAACTAAAACTCTGTATTCATTAAACAGTAACTCCCCACTACGGAGCTAGGAAAAAGGTCAGAAACCAAAGAAAACAAGAAATACAGCCAAGGTCAAACCTAGTTAGGGCAACACTATCACTATAGTCACTACTGAATACTGGATTTCACTGATAGCATAAAAGTTACCACTGACATATGCCAAATTAACTCTAAAGCATTTCTACTTCTTTATTTCACCTGATTTATATTCATAGTCTCAAGTTGGAGAATCAAATTAGTTGATCTTAAGCTACTTGTTCATGTACCACCTGCCAAAAATCAGAAAAGTTAAGTCACCTAGACCCAACAACTTCATTAGTAGTAGGTAGGATTGCTCCAAAAGAAAAAAGAGTTTGATGAGTAGCAAAAAAAAAAAAAAAAAAAAAAAAAAGATAAAATTGGTTTCAGAGACTGTAGTGAAGTTGACTTTATAGGTGATAATAATGTGGGTGTGGAGAGTAGGGAGCCCAGCTGAGGAAGGAAATAGTTAATCTGTCCTCTGTCCTTAGCTATGAACACTGAAGGACCTGAGTAAAGGAAATAATTGTTCAAGTTATTACAATGTTCTGCCTGTGACAGAAATTAACAATTTTCCCCAACTTCTTATGTACTAGCAAAATTGTTATTTGAGCATACTGCCTTTCAGCTGAACAGCACATTTGTAAGCCTCACTTATAGCAACATCTGGCCACATGGCTAAGTTCTGGCCATGAGATGTGAGAAAAGTGATGTGTGCAATAGCTGAGGTGTTCCCCTTAAGGATAAATAATATTCCCCAGTTTTCACATTTTCTCCTTCCTGCTAGATGGGATGTGAATACAATAAGTGGGAGCTGAGGCAGCCATTTCAGGCCAAAAGGTGAAAGCTGCATTTTTAGGCTGTAAATACAGCAATTTTGAAGTATCATGGGTCTATAATAGTTCTAGAGTTACCATATCAGCCCTGGATTACAAAGACAAACTTTGCATGAGAATAAAACAAATTTTATTGCCTCTAAGCGACTATCACTTTGATTCTAGATATCTGTTATAGCATTTGGGCCAACATCATAACTGATACACTTCTTATAGCTAGCTGTGAGATGCATTTCACAGCTCTCTTCTATGAGGTTTATAAGTTAGGTCTGATCTAGCTGCAGAGCTATGTTCAGGCCAAAGACTCATCCAAGGACTCTTTATTAATGTAACACAAATAGATGACAAAAAGCTAAACTCCAAGAGTGAAATGTTGCAAAAGTTCAGTGCTTTCTGTTGGAAATGGGATTTGTGCCTATTCTTGAATCCTATATCTCTTTCATAAGTCACAATTAAATGTCTAATCTTTATTTAATCTCCTAAGTGAATTAGGCCATGTGTTAACTTAGAAAACAGTTATTTTGATTAAGCCTGATAATACATAAAGGTAATGTTACATTTTCTTTTTTCAAAATTGTCATAGATTAGTGTTTCACCACGTCCTGAAATACATTTTTAAAAATGCCTTGCTCCACACATTAATGTTACTGCCTTCTTAATAGTCAATGTTATGGACTTGTTAAAGTCTTATAAATTAATGTTTTTTAAACCATAAGGCCCTACAAATCAGAATCAGAAAGTTCAGTTGTTCTCAACTGTACATTAAATTCACTTGGTTTAGCCTTTTAGAAAACACTGACACATTAAATTTACCTAGGTTAGCCTTTTAGAAAGTACTGACACCCCAGAAATTGAATAAATTGTTCTTTGTGGATGGCTCAACAGTTTTTAAAACTTCCTATAGAATTTTAATGTGCAGCCAAAATTGGGAAACATTGCTCTAATCCAACCCCTTGTAAATTTAAAATGCTACACAAATGATTCTTAAGTCCAGCTAAATATGTAGACTATTAACCTAGTTCATCTCCTTCATTTTATAAATGGGAAAACAAGTACAGACAATTGAAGGAACAAAATAAAGTTCAGTGTCAGACCCAGGTCCAGAAGCCAATATAGGAACAGATGTCCATGCTATAGAGGAATCAGTCAAAGATGCTACTAAAGAAAATGAATGATGGAGGAGGAAAGAAAGTTAGTGAAGTTGAAGCAATTACAATTGATAAAACCATACTTGTGAAACTTCAAGAAGGAACTATGTCAGAGGCATTTTTGTTCTTTTGTTGCCAAATAGTGTGGCTGGCATTTAATAGGTGCTCAGTGTTTTCTGAGTAAATAAATGTGTGCAAAATAAATAGTAAAGATAATATAACTTTAGAAATAGCAAAGATGATTCCTGGTGTCAGTAGTCAAGAAATTCTTCATGAAGGATGGGTTTGCTTTAATCTTTGAGAAAAAGAGGATTTTTAGAAGTGTAAAAGAAGGGTGTAGGTTATCCAGGAGGAGAAAACATGTGCAGGAGATGTACATAAGAGAATTAGAACATGTATGGTTGGCATAGAGGAGATTGGCTGATGAGAACAGAGGGTTTATTTTGGGGATTAGTGTAAAAGACCTGTTGGGGTCATATTGTGGAAGGTCTTAAATGGTGCGCAATTGAGAGCCAGCTCCTGAGGGCAGCTGGTGGCCATTAGTGATACTTGAATAGGCAGTGTATCTAATAAAAGTGCTATCACAGGAGGCCAGAAAAAGGGCATCTTCCATCCATTCTGAGTCCTCATATACAGTCTCTTCTATTGAGCAAGAATTTTAGTTTAGACCAACTTTATTTATCTGCAGAAAAGAAAAAAAATACTGCTGGCGTGAAACAATTAGAGTTTATAACTGATAATGCATAAAAAATGTTACAATGTTAAGTAAATGATTACCACTAGGTATCATATTTGCACTTTTATAAAATATACCATCTGCAAGATACTGTTAATGTGGTCAAGAGTCTTTTGAGTTTAGAAAAATGCATATTTAGAAATAAAACTTGATACTCAGCAATAAGTGACTAAATTGGTAGCTGTATTGTTGCATTATCATTCATATCTCTTGCTGAAGGCTAAAAAGCTTCTCTTTAAACACTTAGGCCAGTTGTTAAAAGACTAGAATTCTGATCATAATGTTTTCTTGAACCTGAGGTAGACATACACATTTGAAGATTGGAACATGGGAAATTACTAAATTATATGACACTGGAGAGATATTACAAGGAAATTCTGATATTTCACTGCAAAATATTGCCAATTATGGTAGCTGTCAATTTAACAATAGGCTTATTCACTATGGTGTTTGATTAACGTGAAATTATTCAGTTGGCTACCTTGTAGTTGGCCTATTTTTGTGTCCAATTAGTATGCTAATAATGGTAATTATGTTCTATACTGCATGTCTCATCACCTAGAGGGTTTTTAAAATGATAAAATAATGAGAATAAACAAGCTGATGCTGATATTCAGTGGGCCATTCTAATTACTTACTGAGAGCACGCTGGGGAATCAACATTCAGCCAGAGAAAATGATTCCTGCTTACTTTGTTAAAACTATTTTTTTCAAAGAGCAGTGAGAGTTTGCTGCTGTTCTCTTTATTATTGAGCTATTTTACATCCCCACCCCCTTTTTTGTTTTCTATGTTTGTTTTATTTATTTTTTAAAAAAATAATCAAAATATAGTTAGCTTTTGTGACTAGTATTTGTTGTAAGAGGTCAGAAAACAGAAAATAGCAAATTGCTTAATTGTACACCTTTGCACCAAATAACTACCATTTTTTTTTGTCTCCACTGTCTATAAAAAACAAAAGCAAAACAAAACAAAGCAGAATTCCTCTACTAAAAACTCTTTTTGCACTTGCAGGAATACAGTGAGAGGTTGATTTGTGCTAATTCCTCAACAAGATAACCAAACACACTAGTGGACAGGAGGGATTGTATTCCCCAAAATATAAAACTAAAACTTTGTTTTGTTAAAAATCCCCTATTTTAAGATAGCCAGATGATCTATTTTGGACAATCAATGTGGAGTTATAGATTAAGTTATTATAATTTATAATTATACTATCAAATATGATATGGTTTGGCTTTGTCTCCACCCAAATCTCACCTTGAATTGTAGTTCCCATAATCCCTACGAGTCATGGGGGGACCAAGTGGGAGGCAATTGAATCATGGTGTCAGGTTTTTCCTGTGCTGTTCTCGTGATAGTGAATAAGTCTCATAAGTTCTGATGATTTTATAAAAGGGCAGTTCCTCTGCACATGCTCTCTTGCCTGCAGCCATGTAACTTCCTTCTCATGTAAGGATGTAACTTTCCTTCTCATTCACCTTCCACTATGATTGTGAGGCCTCCCCAGCCACGTGGAACTGTGAGTAAATTCAACTTCTTTCTTTTATAAATTACCCAGCTTCGGGTGTGTCATTATTAGCAGCATGAGAACAGACTAATACAAAATGTTTTACATAATTCAAAGTATAATACACAAATACTAAATGTATACTTTATAACTGATAATTTATACAATTATATTTTAGATTATTCTAGCTTTCAAGACAGACCTTATGTTGATTATGTAATTTATCCTCTGAATTATCTAAAGTTAAACTTGTGATGTAGGCATTCACAAAATAAATTATGCTTCACAATCTCTTTGTAAGTGTCTATAATAAAGTAAAACAAAGAAAATTCCGTTCCTAGGAAGCTTCATGGTAAGGTGGAAAAAGCATGGACCAAACTTCTCATCCTCTACCCTTCCAATGAGAAACTGTGCAATATTAATTAAGCTAGGTATTTTCTTTGATTTTTATGTCAACTGCAAAATAAAATTATTGAATTAGACCAGACCTTTTCAAATTGTGTTCTATGAAGTCTATTATGTCTCATGTGACATTCACAGATTTTGTACAAAAATAAAGGGCTTCTGTAATCAAATACATTTTAGAAATGATGTATTAAACCAAGGTAAACAAGTTTATTGCAGGACTTCTCAGAGCATTTGATGTACTCAATATGTTTTATAAATCTCCAATTAGGGTGATATAATATACATTGTTTATCAAATTTGATCATTGAAACATATTTATTTATCAAATAGCTATTAATATCTCATAGGACAATAACATTTTATAAAGCATATTTTTGGAAGTACTGGACAAGACAAATCTTTTAAGGTCCTTCTAAGCTCTAATATTTTTCCTCACTAGACTGTAAGTTCCATGCAAGTAGAGAAAATACCTGCCTTGTGTCACTGCTATAGGCTAGGTCTTTGTACCAAGCATAGTATTTGCACATAGTATGTGCTTAATAAATAACTGTTGAATGAATACATACATAGGTACATACATACATACATACATTAATTGGTTTTATAAAAATTCAGCAGATAATGAGGAGGAAATAATTTTTAGGTCCCACTACCCTCCCTTGTTGTTGGTTGCCATTCCCCATACTTTTCCTAATATCTTTGTCTCCTGTCTGTAGCAAAAGCCAAGTAATCTAATCTTTCTATGGTAATTTTAAATCTCATTATGTTTTGACTGCATATAAATGATAGAGCTACTACCTATTGAGCAATGACTAAATGTTTGCCACCGTTCAGAGTACTTTGCCTATGTTAACTAATTGAATCATTATAGTACTCCTATGTGGCACATATTATTTCCTCTTTCTTACATAGAATACAGGAAGGTATCAAAGGTACTAAAGTAAGTGGCAGTTCTAGGATTCAAACCAAGCATATCTGATTTCAGAACATGAATTCTTAACTGTTATATCTGTCACTATGATTTTATTTTCCTTGTGCAAAGTACCAACATTTGTTAATGAACAAATTTGTTTTGTGAAATTCTGGGCCTATGTATATGCTGTATCTATCAATCTACCTATGATCTATCCTGGATGATCTATGGTCTACCAGAATGATACCCTTCTAATCAACCTTCCACGATCCTCTGAGATTATTAGTGCTAAATTAACTACCACAGCACAACTTAGCAGTCAACCCGAGATATACATTTAATCCACACTCTACCTTGACTATCCCCAAGATAAATAATACTATATAGTAATGCTAGAATTATACACCCTTTCACAGATTCAAAAACTGAAGAAAATTTCCACACCATCCTTTTTAAGAAAGTAAAAGTAAGTTTCACATCTATATCTATCTGTATGTAACCATAGCAGATATTTTCAATTAATATTTGATGAGTCTTATTTCTTCTTGGGAGCAGGGACTATTCTTATAAGTCTTATGTAGTATTGAGTGTGACATGGTTAAACAGGAATTTCCTGAGCTACAAAATGATATTCAATACTGTGATACAGAAAATAATCCTTACCACTAATGAATAGAAAGACGCTTGTCAGTTTAGAACCCATTTTCAGCTTGCTCTCTATCAAGAAGGGCGCAGAATATATATACATACATATATGTGTGTGTGTATATCTATATATAAACATATATTATTTACATATATACACAATATATATATTGTAACTTTCAAAAACTCATATTGTGGAAATTTGAGGAAGAACACAAACTTTAGAAGTCTCAAGCAGGAAGGAGTGATTGGGTTATGCAGAGAGCTCTATAATCCTGTCAATAAATAATCAGGTTACTTCCATAGCTATCAAGGAAGGAGGAAACTAACATTTTGCTAGACCTATTAAAGTGAAACAAGATCTTCAGGAAATTAGACATAATAAGAATATATACTTTAAATGAGATTGAAACAATCTCATATGTAACGATTGAAAATCTACAAATTGGTATAAGGATCATTAAATAGAAAAGAGGTCAATTGCAGCACACATAATGTAAGAGAAAATCATGACAGAAAACACAAAAGATCAGAAGAACTTGGAAGAGACTGATCAAGGATATATGAGAGCAGACACTATTCTCATAGTCACACAGGTCAAAATTCTTCCCGATCTTCAGTTTTAAGGAACTTGGGAGCATATCTCAAAACATCACTGTTTAGATTTTATATTTATATTTCAAGTAATCATATAGTAAACAGAATGTATTTGACACTCTAAGGCAGATATTCTAATTATCCTTATCAGACATTTTTACGGTTTTATAATTTCCAAATGCCATTTATTTACATAGACCAGGCAGACCTTTTCCAAGTACAATTACAGTTAATATATTTTGTTCCCAGGATAGACTAAACAAAAAAATTAAGAGTATCTTAAACAACATATTATTTAACTTATTTCTATCTATGAGTGCATATGTTACAAAGATTGATCTTTATCACTTTTCTTCCACCTCAGAAATGGCAACATACTAATTTCTCAATAAATTTGTTTGTTTGTTTGTTTTTGGAGACGGAATCTCTCTCAGTCTCCCAGGCTGGAGTGCAGTGGCGCGGTCTCGGCTCACTGCAAGCCCTGCCTCCCGGGTTCACGCCATTCTCCTGCCTCAGCCTCCCGAATAGCTGGGACTACAGGCACCCGCCACTATGCCCGGCTAATTTTTTGTATTTTTAGTAGAGACGGGGTTTCACTGTGTTAGCCAGGATGGTCTCGATCTCCTGACTTCGTGATCCGCCCGTCTCGGCCTCCCAAAGTGCTGGGATTACAGGCGTGAGCCACCGCGCCCGGCCCAAATTTATTTGAATAAATGAATGAGTAATGACATTAACTAGCCCATCAAAACCAAGTACTTCACAAAATATTCTCCTTTTAGGTATAGCACGGGACAAATTATAGAAAAAAAACCTGCCTGCTCTTTAAATACCAATGTAATGAGCTCTGTTGCCTGTTTAAACTTTTGTTAATTGGAAACATATATTACCTTGTGCTTCCACATTCCAATAAGAATCGATGTTCATAATGATGACCCTGGAACACTAAAAGTTCTTAAGTGTCTTCAGAATCATAAAATCAAGATTAAATTATGCTCAGTATAGTTTTTGTGTTAATTGAATTTCATTGTATACCAAGGCTTTGAAAACTAGCAAGTTGGCTGTGGCAATTTGTTCACTTTCTATCAGCCAGGTTATTTTATTAACAAACCCACTACATAGCATCTTATCTTCTTTCCAAAGTGCATAATAACTGAAAATAGAAAGCTGTGTTTTTATGTTGGGAGAAACAATGGTACTAACGCTATGTTCCTTCCTGTAACATACATATTAAAGTATTTTTCTGAAGCAGTTGAATATTTTTTATTTGTTGCTGGGAAGGGACCAGAACTTAAATGACAATTGCTGTTCTTGAGACTAAGGGAAAAGTTAATGAAAATAAATCATAGTCATATATGTATCTTCTCATAACATAATGGTTTACAATTAGAAAGCAATAACAAGAAAAATTTTGGAAAGTGTACATACATACAAATTAAGCAACATGCTCCTGAATGACCATTGGTTCAATGAAAAACTTAAGAAGTAAATCCAAGAATTTCTTGAAACAAATAAAAATGGAAACAAAATATACCAAAACCTATGGGATATAGCAAAAACAGTGCTAAGAGGAAAGTTTATAGTAATAAATGCCTGCATCAAAAAAGTAGAAAACAAGCAACTTAATATTGTACCTCAAGGAAATAGAAAATTAAAAACAAATGAAACCAAAAATTATTAAAATACAATAAATAATAAAGATTAGAGCAAAACAATGAAATGGAGACTAAATGATAACATAAATGATCAAAAAAATGAATAAAAAAATTTTTTTTTGAAACGGAGTCTCACTCTGTCACCCAGGCTGGAGTGAAATGGCTTGATCTTGGCTCACTACTATCTCAGCCTCCCAGGTTGAAGCGATTCTCATGCCTCAGCCTCTCCAGTAGCTGGGATTACAGGCACCTCCCACCACACCCAGCTAAGTTTTGTATTTTTAGTAGAGATGGTGTTTCACCATGTTGGGCAGGCTGGTCTTGAACTCCAGACCTCAGGTGATCTGCCCACCTTGGCCTCCCAAAGTGCTGGGATTACAAGTGTGAGACACTGGGCCCAGTCAAAAAGTTGTATTAAAAAAAATCGATAAACCGCTGGCAAGACTAACCAAGAAAAAAGAGAATACATAAAGTTTAAAAATTTTTAAATTTTTTTATTAAAAATTATTTTTTAATTATAAATTTTTACTGCTGAGTTCTACAAAACTTGCAAAGAAGAACTAATACAAATTCTTCTTTAACCGTTTCAAAAAATTAAAGAAGAGGATTTTTTTTCTAAGTCATTCTGCAAGGACAATATTACCCTGAAACAAAAGCAGACAAGGACACAACGAAAAATCAAACTGTAGACCAATATCCCCAATGAGCACAGACACAAAAATTCTCAAGAAAATTCTAACAAACTGAATCAAACACATAAAAAAATAATAAATATGCTATGATTAAGTGGGATATATAATATATCCCAGGGATTCAAGTATGGTTCAACATACAGAAATCAGTAAATGTAATACATTAAATCAACAGAATGAAGGACAAAATACATATGGTTAGCTCAAGAAACACAGAACAAAAGGCATTCAATAAAATCCAACATCCCTTTCATAATTAAAAAAAAAAAAAGGTATATAAGAAACACACTTCAACAGTGGAAAGACCATACATGGCAAACCCACGGGTAACATTTCACTGAATAGGGAGAAGCTGAAAGCATTTTATCTAAAAATGGGAACAAGACAAGAATGCCCATCTTCAGCGCTCCTATTTACTATGGTACTGGAAGTCCTACCCAGACCAATCAGGCAAGAGAAAGAAATAAAAGCATCTAAATTTGAAAAGAGAAAGTCAAGTTGTTACTCTTTGCAGACGACATGATCTTATATGTAGAAAAATCTAAGGATCCCACACATAAAAAAAAATACTTAAAACTGATAAATATATTCAGTAAAGTTGCAGGATACAAAATTAACTACAAAAATCAGTATAAAATTAATATACAAAAGCCTATACCCCAATAATAAACAGGCTGAAAAATAAAGAAAGAAATTACATTCAAAATAGCTACAGAAAAAAATACCTAGGAATAAATTTAACCAAGTATGTGAAAAATGTCTACAGGAAAATCTACAAAACACTGATGAAAGACATTGAGGCAGACACAAACAAATGAAGATACATCTCATGCTTATGGATCAAAAGAATTAATATTCCTATAACGACCATACTACCCCAAACAATCTACATATTCAATTCAATTCCTATTAAAATACCAATGACATTCTTTACAGAAATAGAAAAAGAATTCTGAAATTTATATAGAATCACCATAGAGTTGAAATACCCAAAGCAATCCTGAGAAAAATGAATAAAGCTGGAGACATCACACTACCTGACTTCAAATTATACTACAAATCCAAAGAACCAAAACAGCATAGTATTGGTATAAAAACAGACATGTAGATCAATAAAACAGAATAGAGAGCCCAGAAACAAGTCCACATATTAACAGACAACTGGTTTTTGACAAAGGTACTGAAAACATACGCTGAGGAAAGAACTTTCTTTTCAATAAATGGTGCCAAGAGAACTGGAAATTCATAGGCAGAAAAATGCAAATAGACTACTATGTCATATCATATGCAAAATCAACTCAAAATGGATTAAAGACTTAAAGGTAGATCCCAAAGCTAAGAAACTACTAGAGTAAAAAACAAGAAAAATGCTCCAAAACATTGACCTAGGATATAATTTTATGGTCAAGACCTCAAAAGCACAAGCAACCAAAACAAAAATATAAAAAAGGAATTTTATTAAACTAAAAAGTTTCTTCTCAGCAATGGAAACAATTAACAGTGAAGAGATAAACCATTGAACTGGAGAAAATATTTGCAGACTCTTCATTTGCCAAGAGACTAATATCCAGAATACACAGGGAACTCGAATAACTCAACAACAACAACAACAAACCAAAACAATCTAATTTTTAAAATGAGAAAAAAACCTGAACAGATATGTTTCAGAAGAAGACATACAAACAGCCAACCAGTATATTTTAAAAAATGTTTATCACTAATCATGAGGAAAGTCCAAACTAAAACCACCACGAGATAACAATTTCATCCCTTCAATGCACCCTTTTCTCTGGACCCTTGCCAGCATGTTATTATTGTTCATTCAAGGACAAAAATAACATGGTGGCAAAGGTCCAGAGAAAAGGGGACTCTTATACATTTTTGATAGGAATATAAATCAGTGTAGCCATTATGGAAAACAGTATGGATGTTTCTCAAAAACTAAAAATAGAACTACCATGTGATCCCACAATCCCAGTGCTGGGTATTTATCCAAAAGAAAGAAAAGCAGTATATCAAAGAGATACCTTTATGCCCATGTGACATGGTTTGGCTATGTCCCCACTCAAATCTCATCTTGAATTGTAGCTCCCATAATCCCCATGTGTGTGGGAGGGACCCAGTGGGAGGTAATTGAATCATGAGGAGGGGTTTTTCCCGTGATATTCTTGTGATAGTGAATAACTCTCATGAGATCTGATGGTTTTTTAAAGGGCAGTTCCCCTGTACACACTCTCTTGTCTTCCATCACGTAAGAGGTGCCGTTGCTCCTCCTTCACCTTCCACCATGATTGTGAGACCTCCCCAGCTATGTGGAACTGTGAGTCCATTAAACCTCTTTTTCTTTATAAATTACCTAGTCTCAGGCATTTCTTTACAGCAGTATGAAAATGGACTAATACACCATGTTTGTTGCAGTGCTATTCACAATAGCTAAGATATGAAATCAACCTAAATGTCTATCAATGGATAAATAAAGAAAATATATATACACCATGAAATATTATTCAAACATTAAAATGATGAAATCTTGCCATTTGCAACAACATGGATGGAGCTGGAGGATATTATGTTAAGTGAAACAAGGTAGGCACAGAAAGACAAATATTGGATGTTCTCATTTATATGTGGGGGGTAAAACATTGACCTCATGTAAGTAAAGAGTAGAATGATAGCGACCAGATGCTGGGAAAGATATTTGTGAGGAGAAGGGTATGAAGAGAGGTTGGTTAATGGATACAAACATACAGTTAGAAGGAAAATGTTCTAGTGTTTGATCGCACTGTAGCAGACTGTAGTTAACAATAAAATATTTTATATTTTCAAACAGCTAGAAATTTAAAGTATTCCCAATACAAAGGAATGATAAACGTTCAAGGTGATGTATATCCTAAATATCCCGAGTTATTCATTACCCACTGTATGCATGTATTAAAGTGTCACATATATACCACAAATATGTACAAATACTATGTATTAATACAAATAATATTTTTAAAAGTAAATGAGTTTCCCACTAAATGAAAAGGGCTTTCTTTAATGTTTCAATTTTGTAGTATGTATGTAGCTGTAGTGCACCTTGCAAACAAATATAAGGGATGCTTAAAATGAGGGGTCTTTATTCTGAGTGCTCCCATATATACTCGTTAAATAAACTTGTATGCCTTTTCTTTTATTAATCAATCCACCTTATGTCAGGGATTTTTAGTGAATCATTAGAGGGCCAAGAGGCTATGGTCCCCACAGTTCTGGCACATAGTAATTATCAAAGATGCTCTTCTCTTCTAGAGGCTGCAGTGAAGAGAAACCAGGAACATGACCTGCTGGTGAAAGGGTCAGAATTTCTTATCAGCCAGGCTCCTGGCCTATCTCTCTCTCTGTACTCCAGTTGAGAATATGGTAAAAATCACTGTCTCATCTGCAATGTTTTGATTAATTGGAAAAATGATTTGTTCTACAAATCTTGAGTTGTAGTAACTCTGGTGTACTTTTGGTACTTGATGGTACAAATTCATATTGTTGACATCTTTTCCTCTTTGAAATGGCAGTCTTTTGCTCCATTTTCTTTGTCTTTCTCTGTTCTGTTGTAAATATAGGTAATATAGGGTGAAACATGGGCCTAAAACACCTATAAGCCTGTTGTTCAAGCTGACCCTGCAGATTTGTTAGTTTTTGCAATTCTGGCTATAGCAGTTTCTCTTAAGACAAATGTTGCTGCAGGTAACTGAAAAAAAAAAAAAAAAAAAAAAAACAACTGGATAAAGTTTTCCCCCTTGTATTTTCTTATATCCTTGAAGCTTGATTTTGTGAATAAGTGGGGGTACTCTCTTAGTCTTTGCCATCCCAATGGCATGAATTTTTGGATTCACATCAGCTGGCCAGTCCGAAAAGACTGGTAGTCTGAGACACATTAGATTTTTAAGCAGCACATTTTTTGTACTGAATGTGTCAAACTCTTAAGGAGATTTAAATCTTAAAAGGTCTTATCATCTTTTGTTTATGTTAAGTCTATTTCTGATAGTGAACTTTGGGGATCATGAGGTTACCTCTTCTATGTATTCTCTAGGCACCTTGGCTTTAAAGAGGCTTTTGGATTGAATCTCTATTGGAATAAAGTACACCAGTGAAAATTCTAATTTTCAGTAGCCGAAAGATAAATAGGAAGGATTTTAGAGAGATCTTATTCTAAACAACTGATAGGAAAGTCAGATTTTTAAAAGAGCATATAATAATGTCATAACTAGTCTTAAGAATTCTCTTGACAAAATTAAACCAACATTTTATTGCAAGCTATAATAGCTAAGGTCCTGCCCTTGTATCTTGGTGGCCTAAGTTTGATTCCTGGGTAAGGAATGAGTTCTTTCTGGCTTGATCCATTTATTAATATTTTTTTCTTCCATGTACAGCTTCTTATTTTCTGTGATGAATTTTTCACTTTGGAGACACCTTGTGCCTCCATGGTTAAGTCATAACCTTAGTTAAGTCTTATTGGTTTCACTTGGGAGGTTGTCTTTGGTAAGATATTCAAAAGGATTTTTGTAAAGTGCTCTATGGTGAAAAGTAAGCTTAATTGAAAGCTTATATGCATGCTACATATATATTTGAAAGGACTTTCTGCTTTTTCTCTTTTGGAGCTCTGCTTTGGGGAATTTCTTTCAATTGAGTGAAACCTTTAAAAAAATGTGCTTGATTTCTCTGTTTGCTTCCTTTCTTAAAAATTGTTATTTCATTTACTTATCCTCCACCCTATTCCTCCTTCCTCTTTGCTATCTTCAGTATCAAGTTAAAAAAAAAGACTAGGTTTCTAATGACTTATACTCCTTAAAGAACTCAGAATAGACACCACTTATGCATTTTTGGGTTTTTTCTGTTTTCTTTGTGGAGTTTCAATAGTTATGGGTGGATTCTTTTCAGGTCTAAATCTCTGCACTCTTTTGTGTTTCATTACCTGACATTTTGGCTTTTGGGCGTACCAAAATTTACTTTATATCATGAAGAAGTTTAACTTTGATTTGTATAGTGGTTAAGAGATGGGCTGAATACAGAATGGGACAATTGGCTTTGGGTTGGCCACCAGCCTCTTGTGAAGGTCCTTGAAGTGAAATTCAGGGTAGAAACACAGCACTGTCAACTCTCATTGTGTTTTACTTTTTTTAGGGACCCAGGATTTAGAGTAAAAATAAATCCTTGATTTCTGGGAATCTGGTCTTCCTTCCAGCTGTGCCTGCTTATTAGTCTCTAGAAGCTGCATGCTTTCTTGGCACTGTTTCTTAAAGGCTTCACTCTAAATCCAGTAATCCAATTTAAAGAAACTATCTATCTTCAAGGAAATATCAACATGTAAGAGTGTTTGCTTTTCTTGGCCATTTTAACTAAACTTTTACTCACACAATTTTTCCTTTGAGTACAATATCACTTTTTTATCATGTTATAGCTAAGAATTGTCCTTTTAAAAATGCAAATTTAGGGTTGCCTAGCTGACAATTATTTAAGTCAGGGAATGGGTAGTTGAGAGAATGATGTTCTAAAATGGAGAAGAAAAACTTTAAAATTCTCAAATGAAGAATCTTACACCTAACTATCAGATCTGCTTCTATATGTCTGTCTGTATATTTATACATGATGTGTGTATGATGTTTCACTACCAAAATATATGAAAGTGCTTTAATTAATTGGCCTAGAAAACAAGCCCCTAAATCAAATACTTTGCAAGAAAAGTTGCAATTTTATTGCCTTTTAGGTCACATGACTTTAGTAATATTTGGTAAATAAAGCTAAATTAAAAATTATTTTAAAATAAAATTAAAACATATTTTGAATTTAGACATTTGGTCCAAATTCATCACTGTTTCTGCTAAATGTTTTAAGATATGAAACTTTGCTTCTGGTATTTGCTTGTCTGTAAATTCATATGTCTTTCAATTTGAAATTTTAGTGTATGAAAATGCCTAGACCCAGACATTATCCTCTGTCCTATTCTATGCATCTGGTATATGATTATAATTGCTTATCTCCTAAGTTTTTCACTAAAAATAAGTTACTAAGCATTAACATTACAATTAATGTATATAATTAAAACTACTAGATACATACAAAGTATATAAATATGTATTTTTTGTTAAAAATTATAAAAAGCTATGGGACAGTGGTTTCTATTAAAAGGTAAGTAATTTGGTCTAGATGTTTTTTAGGATTGTTTTAAGTTAAAAGTAAGATAGGACAAAACTTAGGTTTTAACTTAAAACAATCCTAAAAAACCCTAGACAAAACTACTTACCCTTTAATAAAAACATTTATTTATTCAATTATAAAATGTTGCTGATTCTGTTTCTCACAGTTAAGAAAGTTTTATTTTTCTTTTTAGCTATTAACAGCTTTTAACACTTGAGTAAACTATATTCCTGTGAACAAAATTTGAAGCATGTTTCTTTCTCTCAACCTGATTTCTCTAGAATTTGGAAACTATTCATGAGCATTCTTAATTTATGGCAATGTAGTCATTTGCATAAATTCAAGAAAATCTTTCTTTCCTAACTGGACACAACTGGAGACAGTGGTAATTTCACCAAGGCTTTGACTGGAATAGGATATTTTTGAGTAATTGAAATTGACTTTATAAAGCTAACAGACCTTTAAAAAAAACTGGATTCATACCTTGTCCATGCAATTACTTTACAGGTTCCTTTTCTTTCTTTTACAGATTTCTGACCTTGGATAAGTAGAGAATGTCACTTGCTGACAGGTCCAGGAACCCTAAGTTATTTGGGAAACTCAAGTGAGGAATTTTACCCAATTTATACCAATATCTGCAGTCACAGATAAGTCCTTGTCTGGGCTTGAGGTTTTAAGATGTCTAATCTGAGATTCCTTATGACAAAATATGTTGTAGCAAAGCCAATTTAAAAAGGAGCCTATATGGCAAATAATTATTCTTACTTCACTTTATGCATGTAATCAGGCCATCAATAAGACTAAACTTATTTTACATATAAATTGGTCCTGCTGTGAGTTTGTCTTTAATAAAATTGGAAAATTTGAGACAGAAAAAATATGTTTCAAAAGAAACTATGGTATAACTCTTATTAAATTCTAGCCTTTTTTTCTTGTTTTTATTATTTTCTACTATTTGGACTTAATCCTGAAGTTTTTTTCTGACTACAAGTCCATAAACAAGGATTTTTAATTTTTATCATCCTCCCATTTTTCTGACTTGAAGTCACTAGAAATTAAAACTATGCTTTTCTTAAAGTCTTACAGGCTAGTTAGATAACTTAAACTTCAGGAGGAAATAACAATGACTTATAAACTTTTCTGCTTGCCTGCTGATGTATGGACTTCTCAGAAAATTCACTTGAATGCCTGGTCCAACTAAAATCCAAAAGAATCTGTCAGATTGCCACTGCAATATGAAGATGTCTCAGACACTCTAGAAAAAGTAGTTTATAAATGGACTGAATCCTCCAACATTAACCTTTGTCCTTCTTCTGTTTCTATAGAAACTCATTTCATTAGAGGTCTGATTGCTGGCATCGTATGTAGAGGCCTAGCCAATCTGTCATGCCACCTCCTGGAATTGGACATTGCTGTTTCACTAAACTGATCTACTCTCAGGAATAAGAAATCGACTAAAGAATATGTGAAATTGTATATTTAAATTGCTTTTTTCTATTTATCCCAAATTTGTCTTTCAAATACTTTATCTCTATCTGACAACCTCTAACCCAAATCTCTCCAAGGCTGTTAACTTGGATTTTAATATGTGAAACTTATTTTAACTTTCAAAGTGGGTAGGGACTGAGGGAAATTAAAATATTTTATCTCTGAAATATATTCATCTGATGCATTTGAAAATGCCACTTGGCCGTCCTAACAGAAGTGGCCTTGCAAAGCTGTCATAAGTGGGAACAATTTGCATCTGTAGAGAATTTCCATTAATGCAGCCATGCCCTCTCCCCTTTCTATGCCAGATCCAGAAGAGATTGAGAGTCTGACACCTTTAAAAGTCTAAAAATAGACATTTACCATCTATTCTTTCTAAGGGTGGCTTCATCAATATAACAAGACCACCGCTGCTTGCCAAGCCTCTTCTCCCCTGCCCATAGCCTACTTTATTAAAATCTAAGCCCCCATTCTTTCTGTAACCTCAAAATTATATAGGTTTCTCTCAATCATTGGGAAGTTGAGTCTTCATTCTGAAGGCTACCGTGTACACATGTTAAATACATTTGTATGCCCTTTTTCCTATTAAAAAAGGATAACGGAAGTAAAATATTTCCTCTAAAGATAAGGTAATATCAAAGCTTCTCACATCAATTGTGCTTCTTAACTACTGATTTGGTTGCTTGTACTTTTAAGACTTTCTACCTTCATCTTCCATGAACTAGGTAAAAGAATATCCTTCTCTCTTCATAGGAGTTACACAGGAGAACAGTGTGTCAACCAATGATTACAAGAAGCTGCTACTTATAATTTTGAGACAGGACAGGCAAGTCCCCAAATTGGGCCTCAGCCCAGGAAGGCTCTTGGCTTCACTCAGAAAACAATGCAAGAGTGAGCTGCTGGTGGAAGAAAGCAGATTTACTGAAGCAGCAGTGTACACTAGAATGACTGCACCTCATGAAGCAGGGCTAACCCATAGGCAGTGCATCCAAAGTAGTGACATCTGAGCTGCTGGCAAGCCATATTTATAGTTATTATGTGATTACATGCTAAATATGGGGTGGATTATTCTTGAGTTTTCCAGGAATTGGGCAGGGAATTCCCAGAACCGAGAGTTGCTTCCCCTTTTAGACCATATGGGGTAACTTCTGGACATTACCATGGCATTTATAAACAGTCATGACACTAGCATGAGTTTCTTTTAGCATGCTAATGCATTATAATTAGCATATAATGAGCAGTAAGAAGAAGAGGTTGCTTTTATTGTTGTCTTGATTCTGGCTGGTTTTGGCCAGCATCTTTACTGCATTTTATTTTATCAGTGGGGTTTTTGTGACCTGTGTCTTGAGAAACAAGTCATGCCAAATTTCTGTCTTATCACCTCCTCTGACATTATATATTCCTCCATGATCTTAAGGGATTGTAGAAACATGGAGGTCTAGCTTCTGTAGCTGTTTTTTGCTGATTTTATGGATGTTGGCTCTGGTGAGTATTGGAGGAGTAAAAATCTCTGGGTACCTGATCTAAGGGGCTCAAAGGCAGGATGTTTTCATTTTCTGGGTCAGAAAGCAAGATGGTTGGAAGCCTTCTACTAGCATTATATTGACATGGAACTTTGCATTCTAGGAGACACAAAATTTACAAGGAGTTTAAATAAGCAGAGGCCTCAAATTAGTAGTAACCGGATAGCTGTTAAAGATCTTAGGAAGGTAAAAAAAAAAAAAAAAAAAACAGGTGAGACTTTGGAGGGCACTTTTGATAGTCAGATATAGTTGGGGTCAGAACCCTGGCTACATCTGTGGAACCAGGTAGCTTGTTGAATTATTTTTTGAATGTTAATCTCAACTTTTCCAGAGTTTTAATATATGTGTAGCGTATCTTATTAATAACTACATAAACTCTACCTTGAATAGCCAGCAAATAATCTAATGCTAGTCTGTTGTCAAGGACTATATTTGCCAAAGTGTCTAGGGACTCTTGAATTCCATTTAGTCCCTGTCCTGTGTTAGTGGTCAATGATTCTAGGGCTTAAGTCAAATTCCTTGGGGTTGACTAGTGGCAGGCAAAGCCACCCAAAGGGACCATTAGTCCTATTATTGCTTTGATTTCTACCAGAATTAATCCTATTGCTCATTGATTTCTGGTATTTTCAGTTATTATGGGGTTGTAGACAGTGACCCCCAGAGGAGCAATGGTGGCCAATGTACATTCACTCCTGCTCCATGTTTTTGATATAAAAAGGAAAGCTACTCCTAAAAGAATAGAGGGCTACCCAAGGAGTCAGGAGTGGTCACTGGGTGGAACTTCTTCCTACTCATGGCTATAGACAAAAATGAGTCCATTTGAGGCACAAATGGAGGCTCCTTGGGGTATGATGTGTATTCTCTACTGCCATCTGGGACTTATAGAGATATTTTTTTCCAAACTCCAATGAGGGTGATTGAACAGCCCTTATTTTCCAGAAGGATACAGTCATTCCACCTTCCCAGATCAGGCAGTTGTTTCTCCCTTGCATGTATTCCTTTGGAGGAGGCACTATGTAAGGTTTCCTTGCTGACAAGTGGGATCCCATTTACCTCACCACAGCTTTGGGAACATGGCCACTAGGTTTGCATCAGAGCATCTCAAGGAAACTTCCATTTCTGCATCATTAACAAAACAATGGGTGCAAATAATAGTGTCATGAATGCAATGGAGGTACAAGTTCCCAACCTCCCATGTCCAGATAACACTGGCAGGGGAAGTTAGGTAGAATCGATTAAGTGGGGAAGATTTCCACATAATAAGTAGGGGTCTGGGTACTTTGGGATTGCTATGGTTAACTAGGAGGTTTGGGAACATGACCATGAGATTCTCTGAATGTGCCAGAAGATGAAACTATCCATCCTGGGGATGTTGATGACAGATCCAGACTGCAGAGCTTTGTTCCTAGCCATACAGGATTAGGTTAATTGAGAGAGCAAACATAATTAACAGAGGCAGCATGGTGTCTGTATTGGCCTTAGAGTGACCTTTATACCCAACAAGGAGAAAGTAAATGTTTCCTAGGAGGAGGTGGTTAGCTAAAGCAACAGAAAACACATATCATAATCAGTAAGAAAAGAAAAATAATGTTCTTATGCCCACCTGCAGTATCAAGTTACCTCTTTTTGCTGACTGTTGATTCTTTTAAATAGGTAGTGAGGGCTTTCAGAGGTTTACAGGTATAGCTTATGGTCTCCTCCTCTGACACCTGCAGGGACTCATAAGAAACAGGTTTAATCCCAGACAAGTGTATTCAGCTGTTGATATCCTGACGTTTAACAGTGGTGGGGATACTAAAAAACATCTGATGGGGGCTGATATGGTGTGGATTTGAGTCCCCACTCAAATCAAATGTTGAATTATTATCCCTAATGTTGGAGGTAAGGCCAGATAAGAGGTGATTGGATCATGAGGGTGGTCCTTCATGAATGGTTTGGCACCATCTCCTTGGTGCTGTTCTCATGATAGTGAATGAGTTATTCTGAGATCCAGTTATTTGTCTCTAGCACATCCCCTCCTCTCTTCCTCCTGCTCCAGCCATGTGAAGTGACTTGCTCCCCCTTTGCTTTATTCCATGATTAGAAGTTTTCTGAGGCCTCCCCAGAAGCAGGAGCCACAATGCTTCTTGTACAGCCTGCAGAATCAAGAGCCAATTAAGCCTCTTTATAAATTATCCAGTCTCAGGCATCTTTTTATAGCAATGCTAGAATGGACTAATGCAGAAAATTGGTACCAACGACTGGGACATTGCTATAAAGATACCTGATGATTTGGAAGCAGTTTTGGAACTTGATGATGTACAGGGGTTGGAAGAGTTTGGAGGGCTCAGAAGAAGACAGGAAGAAGAGGGGAAATTTGGAACTTCCTAGAGACTTGTTGAAGGGTTGTGACCAAAATGCTGATAGTGATATGGTTGGAGACGTCCAGGCTGATGAGGTCTCAGAAGGAGATGAGTAACTTATTGGGAGCTAGACCAATGGTCATATTTGTTACACCTTGGCAAAGAGCTTGGTTAGATTATGCTCCTCCCCTAGGGATCTGTGGTACTTACAACCTGAGAGATTATTTAGGTAGAGTATCTGCTGGAAGGAATTTCGAAGCAGCAAAGAAATAATCTGAAGTCAGAACTTATATTTAAAAGGGAAGTAGAGTGTAAAATTTTGGAAAATTTGCAGCCTGGCTCTGTGGTAGAAAAGAAAAGCCCATTGTCCGGGGAGGATTTTAAGCAGGCTGCAGAAATTTGCGTAAGTAAGAAGGAGTCAAGTGCTGATAACCAAGACTATGTGACAAAGGCCTCAAAGGTATTTCATAGAACTTTGTGGCAGCCCCTCCCATCACACATCCAGAGGCCTAGGAGAGAAGAATAGTTTCATGGGCCAGGCTCAGGGACCCACTGCCCTGCACAGCCTTGGGCACTACTCCCTGCATCCCAGCCTTTCTAGTTCTACCCATGGCTCAAAGGGGCCTAGGTACAGCTTGGACCACTACTTCAGAGGATACAAGTCATAAGCCTTGGAAGCTTCCAAGTGGTGTTAAGCTTGCGGGTGCTCCCACAGCAGAACGCAAGAGTTGAAGCTTGGGAGCATCTACCTAGATTTCAGAGGATGTATGGAAAAGTCTGATGTCTAGGCAGAAGCCTGTTGCAGGGGTGGAGCCTTCAAGGAGAACATCTACTAGAGCAATGTAGAGGGGCAATGTGGGGTTGGAACCCCCACACAGAGTCCCAACTCTGGCACTTCCTAATGGACCTGTGAGAAGAGGGCCACCGTCCTCCAAACTTCAGATTGACAGATCCACCAGAAACTTGCACCTTGTGCTTGGAAAAGACATGAGCACTCAATGCCAACCCATGAGAACAGCCACAGAGGTTGAACCCTATAAAGCCACAGAAATTGAGCTTCCCAAGGTCTTGGGAGCCCACTTGTTGCATCAGTGTGCCCTGGATGTGGGACACAGATTCGAAGGAGATTAATTTGGAGCTTTAAGATTTAATGGCTGCCCTGCTGGGTTTCAGACTTTTATGAGACCTGTAGCACCTTTCTTTTGGCTGATTTATCCCTTTTAGAATAAGAGTCTTTACCCAATGCTTATACTCCCATTGTATCCTGGAAGTAACTATCTTGCTTTTGATTTTATAGGCTCATAGTTGAAAGGGACTAGCCTTGTCTCAGCTGAGACTTTGGAATTTGGACTTTTAAGTTAATGCTCAAATGAGTTAAGACTTTGGTGGACTGTTTGGAAAGCATGATTATATTTTGCAAAGTGAGAAGGATATGAGATTTGGGAGGGGTAAGTGGTGGTAAGACACACTTTGGATTTGTGTCCCTACCCAAATCTCATATTCAATTGTAGTCACCAATGTTGGAGGTGGGGCCTACTGGGAGGTGACTAGATCATGCGGGTGGTCCTTCATGAATGGTTAGCAGCATCTCATTGATGCTGTACTCATGATAGTGAGTGAGTTATTGTGAGATATAGTTGTTTAAAATTGTGTAACACCACTCCCTCCCACTTCCTCCTGCTCTGGCCATGTGAAGTAACTTGCTCCCCCTTTGCCTTCTGCCATGATAGGAAGTTTCCTGTGGCCTTCCCCAGAAGCAGAAGACACAATGCTTCCTATACAGCAGAAAGAACCATGAGCCAATCAAATCTCTATTTTTTTTTTAATAAATTACCCGGTCTCAGGGATTTCTTTATAGTAGAGTGAGAATGGACTAATACACTGAGAGGTGCCAGGCCATGTGTTTTGTCTCAATGCAATCTATTTCAGTGATCACACCTCTTTCCACAATAATGTGGCTGGCAATTCTTTATGCTGGGGTTTGAGGAAAGTTTGCTGTCATTTTTACCTGACAAATGAGTAGTGAGAGGACCCATTCATTGAAAATAAATATTCATTCATTTTATAAATTTTCATAGGACTAGTAGACACTTTGAATGGGAAGAGATTTTAGCTAGAAAATGCTGCTATCTCAGAAGTGTAAATTCTCATCCAAATTTAGTCTAATGATTTTTATTATAGAATTGGAGTTTTTTTTGTGTTTTACTTATTACATTTTAGTACAATCTTGAATAAATACTTCAATGTTCCCAAAACTTGGTAAGTCTACCACTGTTGGTAAGACAGATGATTTTTAGAAGATACCTGAGCAACGTTTTGTTTGTTAAACAATTAAGCATTTAATGTGTATTAGAAAAAAAAAGGCTGGGTACAGTGATTTGTGTTGGTAATCCCAGAACTTTGGGAGGCTGAGGCAGGAGGATCACTTGTGCTCAGGAGTTACATACCAATATGGGATAAATAGAAAGACCTCATCTCCACAGAAAGAAAAAGTCAGCCAGATGTTGTGGTGTGCACCTATAGTCCCAGCTACTTGTGAGGCTGTTGTGAGAGGATTGCTTGGGTTCAGGAAATCAAGGCTGCTTTGAGTCATGATTATACCACTGCAACTGAGCCTGGATGACAGAGTGAGATCCCATCTCAAAAAAAAAAAAAAAAAAAAAGCAAAAGTATCACTCACACCTCAAATGTGTTTTCATGGTTATTGTTACTTATTATTACATAAATGCATTAATAAAATATTTAAAAGTTTGGTCAAGTTAAAGAAAATATAAAGTTAAAAATAATGGATTTTTATTAAAATGATTTTCAACATTATTAACAGGGTCTTATATTTTTGTATAATTTTGTCTATATGAATAGATTTACTATCAGTACAAGCACCAAAATAATACTAAATCTACTTGATCACAGGAATAAATAAAATGTCTAAATTGGAGTTACTTTTGAAATAGTTAATGGCGGGTACTCTTGAGCCCTGCTACACAAACTGTGGTCAGTGACCAGTAGTATGCCATTATCTGGAAACTTATTAGAGACTCAGAATTGCAGGCCCCATTCCAGACCTATTGAATCACACGTTGAATTTTAACATGACACCGGGTGATTTTATGCACATTAATCTTTAAGAAGCACTTCTCTAGAGTGGAAGTTCTCAAAGTTTGGACCAGGTACACTGGGTATTCCTGGTACTTCTACGTACTCTGCAAGGTCAAACCTAATTTCATAGTAATATTAAGATAATTGTTTTTTTCATTGTGGTGACATTTGCAGATGACCTCAAGACAAACCTAGGCAGTGACATTAAATTGTCCTAGTAGTCATATTTTCCACCTCTAAACAGTCTCAGAAAAATTAAAAGGCAGATTCATTTAAGAATATTCTTGATGAACAACAAAAAATGTCAATTTTCTTCCACCCCAATTTTTAAAAATATGTATTTAGTATCCTATGTAATGAAACGGCAAGTACACACAAAGCATTGCTACTGCCTAAGGAAGTACCACGCCCAACTCAAGGAAGAGGACTTGTGAAACTCAACTGAAAGTGGAGATAGCCACCTTTTTGTTTTGAATATCATTTCTGCTCGATATAACAACTAAAAAATTATTCAGCTATGGATACTTTCAGACTTTTTTCTTTAAAATTAAATAGTGATTGTGATTTGAAGAAAAACAACTTGACTGTACAGTTGGTCCCTGACTTACAGGTTTATAGCTGAAAGAAACATACTTTCAGTTTCAGATGAGACTTTGGATTTTGGACTTTTCAGTTGATGTTAAAACAAGACTTTTGGGGACTATTGAAAATGGATGATTGTATTTTGCTATATGAGAAGATCATGATATTTGGGGACCCAGGGATGGAATGCTATAGTTAGTGTGTTTGTCCCCTGCAAACATCATGTTGAAATTAGACACCTGATGTTAAAGATGGGATTTATTGGGGGGAGGTTGGGTCAAGGGAACGGATCCCTCATGAATAAATAATGCCTTCCCCAGGTGGGGGTGAGTTCTCACTCTGTTATCTCCGATGAGGTCTGGTTATTAAAAGCAGGCTGGAACCTACTCTCTCTTTTATATTCTCTCTAGCCACGTGATCTCTGCATATGCCTGCTTCCTTTCATCTTCCACCATAAGTGGAAACAGCCTGAGGCTTTCAACATATGTCCAGTCTTCCAGCCAGCAGAATCATGAGAGAAATAAACCACTTTTCTTTATAAACTATCCAGCTATACTACAGGTGTTTCTCCATACAAAGACTAACTGGACTAAGAGAGGCATTTTTACTTAATAAATTCTCTAAATATGTAACTATAGTACACAAGTTAATTTTTAAATTGGATTAAACTTTCTTTTTTATTATTTTTTCTTTTTTAAAATTTTTTATTATACTTTAAGTTCTAGGGTACATGTGCACCATGTGCAGGTTTGTTACATATCTATAAATGTGCCATGTTGGTGTGCTGCACCCATTAAGTCGTCATTTACATTAGGTATATCTCCTAATGCTATCCCTCCCCGCTCCCCCCACCCCACAACAGGCCCCGGTATGTGATGTTCCCCTTCCAGTGTCCACGTGTTCTCATTGTTCAATTCCCACCTATGAGTGAGAACATGTGGTGTTTGGTTTTTTGTCCTTGCAATAGTTTGCTGAGAATGATGGTTTCCAGCTTCATCCATGTCCTTACAAAGGACACGAACTCATCATTTTTTATGGCTGCATAGTATTCCATGGTGTATATGTGCCACATTGTCTTAATCCAGTCTATCATGGTTGGACATTTGGGTTGGTTCCAAGTCTTTGCTATTGTGAGTAGTGCCGCAATAAGCATACGTAGGCATGTGTCTTTATAGCAGCATGATTTATAGTCCTTTGGGTATATACCCAGTAATGGGATGGCTGGGGCAAATGGTATTTCTTGTTTAGATCCCTGAGGAATCACTACACTCTCTTCCACAATGGTTGAACTAGTTTACAGTCCCACCAGCAGTGAAAAAGTGTTCCTATTTCTCCACATCCTCTCCAGCACCTGTTGTTTCCTGACTTTTTAATGATCGCCATTCTAACTGGTGTGAGATGATATCTCATTGTGGTTTTGATTTGCATTTCTCTGATGGCCAGTGATGATGAGCATTTTTTCATGTGTCTTTTGGCTACCTAAATGTCTTCTTTTGAGAAGTGTCTGTTCATATCCTTTGCCCACTTGTTGATGGTGTTGTTTGTTTTTTTTTCTTGTAAATTTGTTTGAGTTCTTTGTAGATTCTGGATATTAGCCCTTTGTCAGATGAGTAGATTGCAAAAATTTTCTCCCATTCTGTAGGTTGCCTGTTCACTCTGATGGTAGTTTCTTTTGCTGTGCAGAAGCTCTTTAGTTTAATTAGATCCCATTTGTCAATTTTGGCTTTTGTTGCCATTGCTTTTGGTGTTATAGTCATGAAGTCCTTGCCCATGCCTATGTCCTTAATGGTATTGCCTAGGCTTTCTTCTAGGGTTTTTATGGTTTTCAGTCTAACATTTAAGTCTTTAATCCATCTTGAATTAATTTTTGTATAAGGTGTAAGGAAGGGATCCAGTTTCAGCTTTCTGCTTATGGTTAGCCAGTTTTTCCCTACACCATTTATTAAATAGGGAATCCTTTTCCCATTTCTTGTTGTTGTCAGGTTTGTCAAAGATCAGGTGGTCAAAGATGAGAGGTTTTATTTCTGAGGCCTCTGTTCTGTTCCTTTGGTCTATATATCTGTTTTGGTACCAGTACCATGCTTTTTTGGTTACCATAGCCTTGTAATATAGTTTGAAGTCAGGTAGTGTGATGCCTCCAGCTTTGTTCTTCTTGCTTAAGATTGTCTTGGGTTTGTGGGCTCTTTATTGGTTCCATATTAACTTTAAAGTAGATTTTTCCAATTCTGTGAAGAAAGTCAATGGTATTTTGATGGGGATAGCCTTGAATCTATAAATTACTTTGGGCAGTATGGCCATTTTCCTGATATTGATTGTTCCTATCCATGAGCATGGAATGTTCTTCCATTTCTTTGTGTCCTCTTTTATTTCCATGAGCAGTGGTTTGTAGTTCTCATAGAGGAGTTTCTTTACATCCCTCATAAGTTGTATTCCTAGGTATTTTATTCTCTTTGTAGCAATTGTGAATGGCAGTTCACTCATGATTTGGCTCTTTTTTTGTCTGTTATTGGTGTATAGGAATGCTTGTGATTTTTGCACATTGATTTTGTATCCTGAGACTTTGCTGAAGTTGCTTATCAGCTTAAGGAGATTTTGGGCTGAGTCGATGGGGTTTTCTAAATATACAATCATGTCATCTACAAACAGGGACAATTTGACTTCCTCTTTTCCTATTTGAATACCCTTTATTTCTTTCTCTTGCCTGATTGCCCTGGTCAGAACTTTCAACACTGTGTTGAATAGGAGTGGTGAGAGAGGGCATCCTTTTCTTGTGCCAGTTTTCAAAGGGAATGTTTCCAGTTTTTGCCCATTCAGTATGATTTTGGCTGTGATTTTTTCATAAATACCTCTTATTATTTTGAGATACATTCCATCAATACCTAGTTTATTGAGAGTTTTTAGCATGAAGGGCTGTTGAATTTTGTTGAAGGCCTTTTCTTCATCTATTGAGATAATCATGTGGTTTTTGTCATTGGTTCTGTTTATGTGATGGATTGTGTTTATTGATTTGGGTATGTTGAACCAGCCTTGCATCCCAGGGATGAAACTGACTTGATCATGGTGGACAAGGTTTTTGATGTGCTGCTGGCTTCGACTTGCCAGTGTTTAATTGAGGATTTTCACATTGATGTTCATCAGGGATATTGGACTCAAATTTTCTTTTTTGTGTGTGTCTCTGCTAGGTTTTGGTATCAGGTTGTTGCTGGACTCATAAAATGAGTTAGGGAGGATTCCCTCTTTTTCTATTGTCTGGAATAGTTTCAGAAGGAATGGTACCAGCTCCTCTTTGTGTTTCTGTTAGAATTTGGCTGTGAATCCATCTGGTCAGGGACCCACTTGAGGAGGCAGTCTGTCCCTTAGCAGATCTTGAACACTGTGCTGGGGGATCTGTTGCTCTCTTCAGAAGTGGCAGGTAGGAATATTTAAGTCTGCTGAAGCTGTGCCCTCATCCACCCCTTCCTCTAGGTGCTCTGTCCCATGGAGATGGGAGTTTTTTCTATAAGCTCCTGACTAGGGATGCCGCCTTTCTTTCAGAGATGTCTTGCCCAGAGAGGAGCAATCTAGAAATGCAGTCTGGCTACAGCAGCTTTGCTGAGCTGTTGTGGGCTCTGCCCAGTTTGAACTTCCTGGTGGCTTTGTTTACACTATGATGGGAAAACAGCCTACTCAAGCCTCAATAATGGTGGATGCCCCTCCCCCTACCAAGCTCAAGTGTCCCAGGTTGACTTCAGACTACTTTACTGGCAGCAAGAATTTCAAGCCAGTGGATCTTATCTTGCTGGGCTCCATGGGGTTGGGATCCCCTGAGCTAGACCACTTGGCTCCCTGGCTTCAGCCCCTTTTCCAGGGGAGTGAATGGTTCTGTCTCGCTGGCATTCCAGGCACCACTAGGGTATGTAGAAAAACTCCTGCAGCTAGCTCAGTGTCTGCCCAAATGGCCCCCCACTTTTGTGCTTGAAATCCAGGGCCCTGGTGGCATAGGCATCCGAGGGAATCTCCTGGTCTGCAGGTTGTGAAGACTGTGGGAAAAGTGTAGTACCTGGGCCAGAGTGCACCATTCCTCATGTCATAGTCCATCATGGCTTCCCTTGGCTAAGGGAGAGAGTTCCCCAACCCCTTGCCTTTCCTGGGTGAGGCAATGCCTCAGGCTGCTTCAACTCGCCCTCCATGGGCTACACCCACAGTCTAACCAGTCCCAGTGAGATTAGCTGGGTACCTCAGTTGGAAATGCAAAAATCACCCCCCTTCTGCATTGATCTCGCTGGGAGCTGCAGACCTGAGCTGTTCCTATTCAGCCATCTTGCCCACGACGCACCAGAATTCTTAATATAATACTGCAGGTAATAATTTTCAAAATACGTTATTTATTTATCCAAAGACAATGTTAAAATATCCAGCAGATGTATATGCAAGCTGCTCAATATCACTAATCTTCAGGGAAATGCAAATCAAAACCACAATTAGATATCACCTCACAAACATTAGAATGGCTACTATTAAAAATGCCAAAGATAACGAGTGTTAGCGAGGATGTGGAGAAGAGGTAATCTTATTATTATTGGTGGAAATGTAATTAATATAGTCAATACAGAAAACAATATGGAGGTTCCTTAAGAACCTCAATTAGAATTACCATATGGCCAGCACTTCCTCTTCTGAGTATACACTTGAAAAACTGAAGTCAGAACCTTATAAAGATCTGCAACTCCCATGTTTGATGCAGTATTATTCATAATAGCCAAGATATGAATACAACCTAAGTGTCTGTCAACAGATAAATAGCTGAAGGAGAATATATATATATACAATAAAATATATATAAAATATGCAATAATACAATGAAATACCTATATTCAGTCTTAAAAAAATAAGATCCTGACACCTGCAACAATATTGCTGAAACCAGAGGATATGCTAAACGAAATAAGACAGAGAGAAAGAGAAAAATAATTATCTCACTTATTTGTGAAATCCAATAAAATAAACAAATTCATAGAAACTGAGAGTACAAAGGTGATTACAAGAGTTAGGGATGGTGGGGGGAATGAAAAGTAGGTCAAAGGGTACAAAGTTATGGTTACATAGGATAAGACTAGAGCTCTAATGCATAGCATGAGGACTATAGTTGATAATATTCTATTGTAGCCTAAAAAATGTCCGTTGTACCATCATCGAATTGTGAATATAGAGTTGTTCAGAGTACTTCTTTAATATCCATTTAATGTCAACGTAATTAATAGTGATGACCTTTCTTTGATTATTGATTTTGATAATTTATGTCTTCTCTCTCTTTTTCTTGGTTAACTGGTTAGAAATTTGCAACTTTTGTCATTCTTTTTCAAAGAACAAGCCTTTGGTTTTACTGGCTTTTCTATTGTTTCCTAGTTTTTATTTTATGGATTTCTGCTTGAATTTGTAGTAAATTTTTTTTTCAGCTCGCTTTAGGTTTCATTTGTTCTTCTTGTAGTTTCCTGAGATGGAAGCTTAGGTAATTGATTTCTAAATCCTTTTTACGAATATATCCTTTTTAAATTAGTAGCATTTTTAGAGCAGTTTTAGGTTTACAGAAAAATTGAGCTGAAAATTCAAACGGTTTATATACCCTGTCACCATCACCGTCAACACTAATAATTTTTTCTACTTATGATATCTTTCCTTAGGGTAGTACATTTGTTACAATTAATGAACCAATATTGATACACTATAATTATTACTGAAGTCCATACTTTCCAGTAGGGTTCACTCTTGTTGCTGTACATTCTGCAGGTTTTCACAAATGTATAATCACATTTATTCACCATTACAATGTTATACAGAATAGTGTCACTGCGCTAAAAATCCCTCATGTTCCACCTATTCATCCGGCACCCCACCCTTTAACCCCTGGTAATCACTGGTCATTTTACTTTCTTTGTGATTTGCCTTTTCTGGAATGTCATAGAGATGATATCATATAGAATGTGCCCTTTGCAGGTTGGCTTTTTTTCATTCAACAATGTGTATTTAAGTTACTGCTATGCATTTTGTGTTTCGATAATTCACTTATTTTTATACATAAATAATATTCTATTGTATGAATATACCACAGTTTGTTTATCCATACCCCTATGGAATAACATCTTGCTTGCTTCCAAGTTTTGGCCACTGTAAGTATTCATGTGCAGGTCTATCTATGGGTATGACTTTTCAATCATTCGGGTAAACACCAAAAAACATGATTGTTAGACCATATTATAAGAGTATATTTAGTTTTGTAAAAGGATGCCTAACTGTCTTTCATTGTTGCTGCATTATTTTATATTTCTACTGACAGTGAATAAGTGTTTCTGTTGTTCCACATCTTCCAAATGTTGCACCATTTGGTGTTGTCAGTGTTTTAGCTTTTAGCTACTTGGTGTGTAGCGGTATCTCATTTTTTCAAATCGCAGTCCTCTAATGACATATTATATGGAGCATTTTTATATTTACTTGTTGTCTCTGTATTTTCCTTGGTGAGATGTCTGTTTTTAAATTGGGTTGATTTTTTTCTTAATGTTGAGGTTTAAAATTTCTTTGTATATTTTGAGTACCCATCCTTTATCAGATATGATTTTTACAAATATTTGTCCCAGTGTGTATCCTATTGTTGCATTCTCTTAATAGTGCATTTTGAAGAGCAGAAGTTTTTAATCTTAATTAAGTCCAACTTACTAATATTCTCTTTCACATATCGTACTTTTAGAGCTCTATCTAAAAAGTCATTGCTGAGCACAACATCATCTATATCTCTTAATTTTGAAATTAAAGGCTTTCCCACTAAGATCAGGACAAGCCAATGATATCCCCTCTCACCATTCATACTCATAATTGTACTGGAACTCCTAGCTAATTCAATAAGATGAGAGTTTCAACAATAAATCTGATGTACTCTCTAGGTTTTCCAGATGTTCCTTCGTGTTGAAATTGTTCCCCTTTATTTCTAATTTGCTTTATTTCTAGTTATCATGAAGGAGTGATGTATTTTATCAAATGCTTTCTCTGCATCTATTGATATGATCTTGTGATTTTTCTTCTTTAGTTTATTGATGTGATAGATTATATTAATTGATTTCGAATGTTGAACAATATTTGCATACCTGGAATAAATCTCACTTGGTTATTGTGTATAATTCTTTTTATATGTGGTTAAATTTCAATTACTGGTATTTAGTTGAGAATATTTGCATTCATATTCATAAGAGATATTGATCTGTAGTTTATTTTTCTTGTAATGTCATTGTCTGGTCTAGGTATTCAAGTAATGCTAGCTTCATTGAATGAGTTAGGAAGTATTCTCTTTGCTCTTTTTACTTTCTGGAAGATATTGTAGAAAATTAGTGTTTATTCTTCCTTAAATGTTTATTAGAATTTACCAGTGAATCAATGTGGGTCTAGTGCTTTCTGTTTTAGAAGGTTATTAATTATGGATTTAAATTATTTAATAGATATAGGTCTGTTCAGATTATCTTTTTATTTTTTTTGAATCTTAGTAGATTGCTTCTTTCAAAGAATTGATCCATTTTTACATTCCTCGACACATACACTCTCCCAAGACTAAACCAGGAAGAAGTTGAATCTCTGAATAGACCAATAACAGGAGCTGAAATTGGGGCAATAATCAATAGTTTACCAACCAAAAAGAGTCCAGGACCAGATGGATTCACAGCCGAATTCTACCAGAGGTACAAGGAGGAACTGGTACCATTCCTTCTGAAACTATTCCAATCAATAGAAAAAGAGGGAATCCTCCCTAACTCATTTTATGAGGCCAGCATCATTCTGATACCAAAGCCAGGCAGAGACACAACCAAAAAAGAGAATTTTAGACCAATATCCTTGATGAACATTGATGCAAAAATCCTCAATAAAATACTGGCAAAACGAGTCCAGCAGCACATAAAAAAACTTATCCACCATGATCAAGTGGGCTTCATCCCTTGGATGCAAGACTGGTTCAATATATGCAAATCAATAAATGTAATCCAGCATATAAGCAGAGCCAAAGACAAAAACCACATGATTATCTCAATAGATGCAGAAAAAGCCTTTGACAAAATTCAACAACCCTTCATGCTAAAAACTCTCAATAAATTAGGTATTGATGGGACGTATTTCAAAATAATAAGAGCTATCTATGACAAACCCACAGCCAATATCATACTGAATGGGCAAAAACTGGAAGCATTCCCTTTGAAAACTGGCACAAGACAGGGATGCCCTATCTCACCGCTCCTATTCAACATAGTGTTGGAAGTTCTGGCCAGGGCAATCAGGCAGGAGAAGGAAATAAAGGGTATTCAATTAGGAAAAGAGGAAGTCAAATTGTCCCTGTTTGCAGACGACATGATTGTTTATCTAGAAAACCCCATCGTCTCAGCCCAAAATCTCCTTAAGCTGATAAGCAACTTCAGCAAAGTCTCAGGATACAAAATCAATGTACAAAAATCACAAGCATTCTTATACACCAACAACAGACAAACAGAGAGCCAAATCATGAGTGAACTCCCATTCACAATTGCTTCAAAGAGAATAAAATACCTAGGAATCCAACTTACAAGGGATGTGAAGGACCTCTTCAAGGAGAACTACAAACCACTGCTCAATGAAATAAAAGAGGATACAAACAAATGGAAGAACATTCCATGCTCATGGGTAGGAAGAATCAATATCGTGAAAATGGCCATACTGCCCAAGGTAATTTACAGATTCAATGCCATCCCCATCAAGCTACCAATGACTTTCTTCACAGAATTGGAAAAAACTACTTTAAAGTTCATATGGAACCAAAAAAGAGCCCGCATAGCCAAGTCAATCCTAAGCCAAAAGAACAAAGCTGGAGGCATCACACTACCTGACTTCAAACTATACTACGAGGCTACAGTAACCAAAACAGCATGTTACTGGTACCAAAACAGAGATATAGATCAATGGAACAGAACAGAGCCCTCAGAAATAACGCTGCATACCTACAACTATCTGATCTTTGACAAACCTGAGAAAAACAAGCAATGGGGAAAGGATTCCCTATTTAATAAATGGTGCTGGGAAAACTGGCTAGCCATATGTAGAAAGCTGAAACTGGATCCCTTCCTTACATCTTATACAAAAATCAATTCAAGATGGATTAAAGATTTAAACGTTAGACCTAAAACCATAAAAACCCTAGAAGAAAACCTAGGCATTACCATTCAGGACATAGGCATGGGAAAGGACTTCATGTCCAAAACACCAAAAGCAATGGCAACAAAAGCCAAAATTGACAAATGGGATCTAATTAAACTAAAGAGCTTCTGCACAGCAAAAGAAACTACCATCAGAGTGAACAGGCAACCTACAACATGGGAGAAAATTTTCGCAACCTACTCATCTGACAAAGGGCTAATATCCAGAATCTACAATGAACTCAAACAAATTTACAAGAAAAAAACAAACAACCACATCAAAAAGTGGGCAAAGGACATGAACAGACACTTCTCAAAAGAAGACATTTATGCAGCCAAAAAACACATGAAAAAATGCTCATCATCACTGGCCATCAGAGAAATGCAAATCAAAACCACTATGAGATATCATCTCACACCAGTTAGAATGGCAATCATTAAAAAGTCAGGAAACAACAGGTGCTGGAGAGGATGTGGAGAAATAGGAACACTTTTACACTGTTGGTGGGACTGTAAACTAGTTCAACCATTGTGGAAGTCAGTGTGGCAATTCCTCAGGGATCTAGAACTAGAAATACCATTTGCCCCAGCCATCCCATTACTGGGTATATACCCAAATGACTATAAATCATGCTGCTATAAAGACACATGCACACGTATGTTTATTGCGGCATTATTCACAATAGCAAAGACTTGGAACCAACCCAAATGTCCAACAATGATAGACTGGATTAAGAAAATGTGGCACATATACACCATGGAATACTATGCAGCCATAAAAAATGATGAGTTCATGTCCTTTGTAGGGACATGGATGAAATTGGAAATCATCATTCTCAGTAAACTATCGCTAGAACAAAAAACCAAACACCGCATATTCTCACTCATAGGTGGGAATTGAACAATGAGATCACATGGACACATGAAGGGGTATATCACACTCTGGGGACTGTGGTGGGGTGGGGGGAGCGGGGAGGGATAGCATTGGGAGATATACCTAAGGCTAGATGACGAGTTAGTGGGTGCAGCGCACCAGCATGGCACATGTATACATATGTAACTAACCTGCACAATGTGCACATGTACCCTAAAACTTATAGTATAATTTAAAAAAAAAAGAAAAAAAAAAGAATTGATCCATTTTACATAGGTTATTGAATTTGTGGGCATAGAATTGTTCACAATGTTTCTTTATTATGTTTTTTATGATTAGTAGTGATAAACTATCTTTTATTCTTAATATTAGTAATTTGTGTCTCCTCTTTATTAATTAGTCTGGCTAGTTTACAAATTTTATAGATGTTGTCAAAGAACCATCTTTTGTCTTTATTAATTTTAATTCTCTTGATTTCCTATTTTCAATGTTAGTAATTCTGCTCCAGTTTTTAATGGATTTAATGTGTTCTCTTTTTTCTAGTTTTTTAAATGGAAGCTTAGATTATTGATTTCGGATCTGTCTTATTTTCTATTACATGCATTCAATGGTATAAGTCTTGTTTAAGCCCTTCTTTTACTCATTCTGCAAATTTTAATAAGTTTCATTTATATTTGTTTTATTGAATATATTTTACAATATCTTTTGAGATGTATTATTTGACCCCTGTATTACTTAAAAGTGTGTTAACTCTCCAAGTACTTAGGAATTTTCCAGGAATTTTTATCTTATTGGTTTGTAGTTTAATTCTATCATGGTGTGAGAGTCTAGTTTGTGTGATTTCTATTGTTTTATATTTCTTAAGGTGTATTTTGTGTCCTAAAGTATGATTTGTCTTGCTAAACATTCCTCATGTGCTAGCAAAAATAAGTATTCTGTTTTTTTTTCCACTGAAGGATTCCACAAATGTAAATTATGTCCAATTGAATGGATGCTGCACTTGAATTCAATTGTTTCTTACTGATTTTCTGCCTGTTGGATCTGTTAATTACTTAAAAAGGGGTACTGAAGCCTCTAACTAGATTAGTGAATATGTCTATTTCTCCTTTGAGTTATACCACATTTTGCTTCATATATACTGATGCTCCCCTATTAGGTGCATTCACGTTTAGAAGTGTTATGTCTTCTTGTAGAACTGACCTTTCAAATAATTATTTTATACCCCAATTTATCTCTGATAAATTTTCTTATCTGAACAATGCTCTGTTTTAAACCAATATAGCCACTTTCACTCTTTTCTTATTAGGGTTAGCATAGTATGTATGTCTCCATATCTTCACATTTAATCTGCCTGTGCCTTTATATTTTGAGGTTTTGTACACAACACAGAATGTTATCCTGTTTTTATCTACTCTGACAGTCTGTCTCTTTATTGTTGTATTTAGACCATTTACACTTAAAGTGATTCTTGATTATCAATGTATTATAGTCTGTCATATTTCTTACTGTTTTCGATTTTGTGCCTTTGTTTTTTGTTTCTTTTTTTTTCCCTTCTACTCATTTCACTCTTTTCTGGGTAAAATTGAAAACATTACGTGCTTTTATTTTCTCTCCTCTCTTAACAAATAAATCATACTTCCTTTAAAATTACTTTTCTTAGTGGTTGCACTAGAATTTTTAATATCCATTAAAATTTTAATGGATATTAAACTTTAAAATCCAAGTTATTTTCAACACTTTAAAGTGAGGCTCATTATGTGTTTATAAGGTGGAACTTGAACTCAAATAAGATTTGCAAGCCTTAGGGTTTAGTGTTGTTTTTCAATTTGGGTTTTGGACTTTCTTGGGACCCATTGCTCCTTTTTCCTTGCCTCTTTTTTTTTTTTTTTTTTTTTTTTTTGAATAGAAATGTCTATCCTATGCTTGTCCCACCATTGTATTTTGGAAGCATGTAAAATAAAAGCATTTTGTTTTAATTTTCCAGGTTCACAGCTAGAGAGAAGCTTGCCTTAGGATGACTTATGCCTTGATTTTCATCCATATCCAATTTACATGAGACTTTAGACTTTGGAGTTGATGATAGAATGAGACTTTTGGAGCTATTGAGACAGGATGTAATATTTTGTACTTGAGAAGAACACACGTTATGGCGGATCAGGGGATGGAATGCCCTGGTATTACATAAATGTTTGTCCCCTCAAAACCTCATGTTGAAATGTAATTGCCATTTCAACACTATGAAGAAGTGGAACCTTTAAGAGGTATTTAGGTCTTGAGGGCATCACACTTATAAGTGGATTAATGCCTTTATTGAGCAAGTAAGTTTGACCCCTCTTGTTTTCTCTCTCTCATCCTCTGTTTGCTTTCTGCCATGTGATATCTTTTGCCACGTTATGACAATATGAAGGCCATTGGCAGATGCTGGCACCTTGATTTTACACTTTCCAGCCTCTATAACTTTGAGCCAGTAAATTTCTGTTTATTATAAATTACTCTGTCTACAGAATTCTGTTATAAAAACACAAAACAAATTAAGACAGGTTTCTATGGAAAAAATGCTGACCAAATTTTGCCCTCCCAAGACTGCCACCCTAGTTGTTTTTTTTTTTTTTTTCAACTCTCAAGCCAGTCTATGTTTAACCTCCAGTAACTCATCAAGATCACACTTTGTATTAGTCAGGTTTCCATAGAGAGACATAACTAAAAGGATATATATAGACATAACTAAAAGGATATATATATAAAGGGGAGTTTGTTAAGTATTAACTTACACGATCACAAGGTCCTGCAATAGGCTGTCTGCAAGCTTGCGGAGGAAGGTGAGCCAGTTTGAGTCTGAAAACTGAAGAACTTGGAGTTTGATGTTTGAGGGCAGGAAGCATCCAGCATGGGAGAAAGATGTAGACTGGGAGGCTAGGCCAGTCTGGCCTTTTCACGTTTTTCTGCTTGCTTTATATTCGTTGTCAGCTGATTTGATTGTGCCCATCAGATTAAGGGTGGGTCTGTCTTCCCCAGCCCACTGACTCAAATGTTAATCTCCTTTGGCAACACCCTCACAGACACACCCAGTATCAATACTTTGCATCCTTCAATCCAATCAAGTTGACACAGTATTAACCATCACACTATTTAAGTAATTCTACTTGTTTATGGCTGTAGTGGTTTCTGATTTAGATAAGCCGATTTCAATTTATACATATCTTTCGATGTGCCTCCCTCTCCAAATCTCAAGGTAGTGGTTTTCCCTATGACCTCAGTTGTCTGGTGGTTCAAAACATGTTGTCACTTTTCAGTTTGTCCCACTATTTATTATAAAAACAGAAGTGACAACTTACAAATTTACAAACTCTTCATGTGTCGGAGTTGAAATAGAAGTTAGGTGAAGCATTTCAAAAAATAGAATTTCCATTTCATGTGGTAAAAAATTGTGAGGTTTGCTATTAATGGTTTAATTGTGGTTTATCATGAAAGTAGTTTTAGTAAATAGGGTGAAACACCCATACATTACTCGGTTTTTCTCTGGTTTCAGAACTAATGCACCTACAAACATTTTAAGTTTTTTTTTTCTAAATACTGAACTAATTTATATCTTAGCAACTAGCCCATGGCTCATCACATGGCATTTATTGAATATTTTCTATTAAACTATATAAATATTTAATTCAGATTTCCTTTATTTCATAGACATATTTTCATTAACTGTTAGATTGTCTTCAAAAATGTATTTTTGTAACTTGAATTTACCTTCAACTAACTCACCCCATGAAGAGTTGAAAATGCCCCCTTTATATAAATCTTATGTTTTACATAAATTTCAAATATGAGTTTAGTATTAATCAGTTTACATACATTTAACAGAACAGAGTTTTTCAATGGCCCAAAAATCATAAGAATGATGAAAAAGCGGAGGGGTGGAATTAACCAAGACGGTTTCCTAATTTAAAAATATTTTTGAAGGCTAGTGATGTCTACATCCTATTCCACCATGGATGATTTTTTGGAGCCCACTTGTAGCTACATTGAGAGAGGTACTTTCACTTATTTTTTTTTTTTTAATAATTGGTCAGTAAAGAAACCCTGTTATGCTTAGTGGTTGTTCACCTTAATGTCTTAAGCTGGGATATTGGTAATTTCTCCTCCAGAATGTGTCTGAATAAGTCTATTAATGACTTTGTCACTTTTATGTATAAATCATACAAAAATATTGAAGACATATGCAGAGCCAAATGATTGAGAATGCATCTCATTGCAGATTTCAACATAGCACAGATATTTCTGTTTATCACAATCCTTATTGTAAAATGACTATGCAAAAACCCTAGAAGAAACTATTTAGAAATGCAAATTTATGGAATAAAAAGGCAACAAAAAGTGTAGCAATAATCATAACAAGTATATTTCCCATTATCAGAGTTTAAAAACCAAAAATATATAAAAATGTATTATATATAATGTGGATTCCTGATCTTTTTTCCATACTCTCTCCCCCACTGCTTTTCTTCCCTCTAAGATAAAGAACCTGTATTCGTAGTTGGTGGAGGTTGCAAGGACATCTTCATTATTAAAGTATATACAGGTCTCCAGCCCTTTGTTCTCAATTCTGTAACCAAAAATACTCTGAAAACAAAAATTTGGATTTTCTTTGTTTTAATAAGTGTGAATAAAAAATTGATTTGGTAGCAAAATCTAACATAAGTTGCCATTAATTTTTATTAAATATATTAATGAGCTTGGATAAATATTTATGCATTTTGATTATAGAATTTTGCAACAGATCTCAGTGGAGAAGTTAAGTAATATACAATATATACTCTGTAAAGTTTTAAAAATCCAACAATAATCTACATTTTACATCTTTCTGACCCTAAGCGTTTTTTATTGTATTTTGTGAAAATTTTGATGTAATAATAGTCCTTTCCTTATGCTTTTAGAATTCATTTGAAATGGATGAGGTATTTCTTTAGTTTTTATGATATTTAGACATTAGATTAAATTTTATTCAATTTACATGTTGTCTTAGAATTTGGCAAAGTTTGAAACCTTATTAAAATAAGTACCTATATTTTCTACTGACCTAAAAACATGCCTCTTAGAATATTTTTACCTAGATAGAACTTCCTTCACTTTAACATGAACCCTATTTGAAACTTTTGGCTCCTAAATTGCTTCTCATCTGAAACAATATCCTACCCAGAACACAAAGTATTTTACATGAAATACAGCATAGCCCACTCTGCAGCCATTACGATTGAGGCTGCAAAGATAGATCAGGAGACCAAACTTTCCTCTAATCATTTACCAATTTTATGAAAATCAGCTGTGCTTATACAACTTGTACTTGAGCTATCAGTATATACATAATTAGTAACTGTTTGATGCTGGAAAACTTATTTACATGAACGCTCAGAAGGAAATGATATTATTGCAGTATGATTTTCTGAGACACGAACTGACAACATTTTGCCATAAGAATTAGGTGATGTTTTCTCAATGACAATTATCACCACAATTAATGATACTAACATGCCTTAAATGAATTTATTACTATGGCAATGTCAAAATGACTTAAGGAAACACAATAAATTTTCTGTTCTAGAATCACCATAAAATCTATCTACTCTTTTAAAATTATATTTTGTCTTTAATAATTTTTAAGTCATATTTAAGCAAGAAGTTGCTTTGAACATAATGTAAGTACACTAATAAAAAGCATTTGCATAAGTTTTGTGTACGGGGGGATGTGATGGGAAACATAAGTAACACTGTTTTTGCATTTTTAAAATTCAATAAGTATATTCCAAGCATTTATGAACACTAATATTTACAAATAGATGAACTTCAACAGAAGACTCAATCATGAGGAAGAATTAGCAAATTTAAGACAGGTTATTTGAAATTAGCCAATGACAGGAACGAAAAGCAATAAAGATGAAAACGACTCAAGTAAAGATAAGGGGCCCCTGGGAAACCATCAAGCAAATATGATGAGTCCAAAAAGAAGAAAAAGGAGCAGACAAATTATTTAAAGAAATAATGACTGAAAATATGAAAATCTTTAAAGTGATATAGACATTTATATTAATGGAGCTCAGCAGATCTCAAGTAAAAACAATTTAAAGAAGAATAACCTGAAACATTTTAAAATAAAATTATCAAAAGTTGAAGACAAAGAGGTACTCTTCAAAGCATCAAGGGAAAAGTGATTTATCGCTTATAAGTGAACTCCCATAAGGCTATCAGCAGACTTCTCAGCAGAAACTTTGCAGGCCAGGAGGAAGTGGAAAAATATTTTTAAAATGCTAAATAAAGGAAAAATCCAACTGAGAACACCATACCTGACATATCAGTACTTCAGAAACTAAGGAGACAAACAAAACATGACAGAGTTTATTATCACTATATACACCTTCCTTACAATAAATGCTATAGTCATTGAAATTGAAACAGAAGCACATTAAGTAACAAAATGAAAACATATAAAATTATAAAACCCACCCTTAAAAGTAAATGTATGGTCAAATTCAGAATACCCTAATACTCTAATGGTGGTGTGTAAATCACTTTTAACTCTAATATGAAAGTAAAAGGACAGGCCAGGCATGGTGACTCACCCCTGTAATCCCAGCACTTTGGGAGGCCGAGGTGGGTGGATCACTAGGTCAGGTGTTCGAGACCAGCCTGGCCAATATGGTGAAACCCCGTCTCTACTAAAAATACAAAGATTAGTCGGGCATAGTGGTGGGCGCCTTAATTCCAGCTACTAGGGAGGCTGAGGCAGGAGAATTTCTTGAACCTGGGAGGCAGAGGTTGCAGTGAGCCAAGATCGCACCGCTGCACTCCAGTCTGGGCAACAGAGCGAGACTCCATCTCAAAAAAAAAAAAAAAGTAAAAGGGCAACAACATTAAAATTAACTGTAACTATAATATTGTGTTAATGGAAACACAGTATAAAATTATGTAAAGTGTGAAATCAATAGCATAAAATGCTTGGGCGAGAAATACAAATGTAGAATTTTGTACGTAATTGAAGTTAAATTGTTATGAGCTTAAATTCACTGCTATAAGTTGTTTTATTTCTTTTTTATTACTTTTTTTTAAGCCTGTTTATTTTTCTATTTCAACAGCTTTTGGGGTACAAGTCATTTTTGGTTACATGAATGAATTATATAGTGGTGAATTCTGAGACTTTTAGTGCACTTATCACCAGAGTAGTGTATATTGTACCTAAATTGCATTTTTAAATCTCTGGCCTCCTTCTCACTCTACCTCTTCTGAGTCTCTAAAGCCCATTATATCACTCTGTATGCTTCTGTGTACTCATAGCTTAGCTCTCACTTATAAGAGAACAGATGAATTTTGGTTTCCCACTCCTATGTTACTTCACTTAGAATAATGGCCTCCAGCTCTATCCAAGTTGCTGCAAAAGACATTATTTTGTTCCTTTTAATGGCTGATTAGTATTTCATGGTGTATATATACCACATTTTTTATCCACTCATTAATTAATGGGTATATAGGTTGATTCCACATCTTTGCAACTGTGAATTGTGCTGCTACCAACATACCTGTGCAATTGTCTTCTTCGTGTAATGACTTCTTTCCTTTGGGTAGATACTCAGTAGTGAGATTGATGGATCAAATGGTACACTTACTTTTAGCTCTTTAAGGAATTTCCATACTGTTTTCTACAGAAGATGTACTAATTTACATTTCCACCAGCAGTGTATCAGCATTGTCTGTTACCCACAGCCACAACAACATCTTTTATTTTATTTTACTTTTTTACTTCTTAATAATGGCTCTTGAAGGAGTAAGGTGGCATCACATTTTGGTTTTAATTTGTACTTCCCTGGTGATTAGTGATGTTGACTATTTATTCATAGGTTTGTTGGCCATTTGTATATGTTCTTTTGAGAAATGTCTACTCATGTCCTTTGCCCACTTCTTAATGGGATTATTTGGTTTTATCTTCCTAATTTGTTGTGGTTGCTTATAGATTTTGGATACTAATCTTTTATTGGATGCATAGTTTGTAAATATTTTCTTCCATTCTGTGGGCTGTCTGTTTACTCTGTTAATTATACCTATTATTGTGCAGAAGCTTTTTAGTTTAATTAGGTCCCATTTATTTATTTTTGTTTTTGATGCATTTGTTTTTGAGGTCTTAGTCATGAATTCTGTGCCTAAGTCAATGTCTAGAAAATTTTTTTCAATATTGTCTTCTAGAATTTTTATGATTTGAGATTATATTTAAGTCTTGGATTCATTTGAGTTGATTTTTGCATATGGTGAGAGATAGGGATCCAGTTTCATTCTTCTAGCTGTGGCTTGCCAGTTTTCCCAGGACCATTTATTAAATAGAGCGACCATTCCCCAATTTATGTTTTTGTATGCTTTGTTGAAAATCGGTTGGCTGTATGTATTTGACTTTATTTCTAGGTTCTCTATTCTATTTTATTGGTCTGTGTGCCTACTTTTATACCAGTACCATGCTATAGCGGTAATTATAGCCTTGTAGTAAAATTTAAATTCTGGTAAAGTGCTGTTGGATTCAGTTAGCTAATTTTTTTGTGTGGATTTTTGCATAAATGTTCATCAGAGAAATCTATTTGTAGTTTTGTGGTGTTGTAGTTTTGTCCTTTCCTGACTTTGGTATCAGTGTGATACTAGCGTCATGGAATGATTTAGGAAGAATTTCTTCTTTCTCAATTTTTCGGAGTAGTTTTAGAAGGATTAGTGCCAATTCATTTTTGAATATCTGGTAGAATTCAGCTGTTCATCCATCTGGTCCTGGAATTCTTTTTCTTGGCAATTTTTAATTCACTGATTTAATGTTGCTGCTTGTTATTGATCTGTTCAAGATTTCTGTATCTTCCTAATTTAATCTAGGAGGATTGTATGTTACTAGGAATTTGTCCATTTTGTCTAGGTTTTCTAGTTTGTGCACGTAAAGATTTTCATAGTTTTCTCAAATGATATTTTGTATTTCTGTGGTGTAGGTTGTAATGTCTCCATTTTTATTTCTAATTGAGCTTATCTGGGTCTTCACTCTTCTTTTTGGATTAATATAGCTAATGGTCTATCACTTTTATTCATTTTTTTTTCTATTAGGCTCGTGCAAAAGTAATTGCAAAAGTCATTGTAGTTTTTGCCATTACTCTTAAAAGTAAACGTTTTTTGCTTACTCTTAAAAGTAAAAATTTTTGCCATTACTCTTAAACAATATTTTTAAAATTAAGTTTAAAAAAATTTTTTTTTGAATTTCATGTTTCTCTGCTCTGATTCTATTATTTACTTTCTTCTTCTAGCTTCAGGTTTAGTTTGTTCTTGTTTTTTCAGTTCCTTGAAGTGTGACATTAGGTTGCCAATTTGTGTTCTTTCAGACTTTTTGATGCAGGTGATTAGTGCTGTAAGTTTTCCTCTTAGGACTGCTTTTGCTGTGTTGCAGCAGTTTTGATAACTTGTCTCATTATTATCATCCAATTCAAAGAACTTTAAAATTTTCATCGTAATTTCATTGTTAACCAGGATATAATTTAGCAGATCATTTAATTTCCCTTTTTTTATCATTTTGAGGGTTCCTTTAGAAGTTGATTTCTAGTTTGTTTTCACTCTGTTCTGGAATGATACTTGTGATTTCAATATTTTGAAATTTATTGAGATTTGTTTTGTGGCCTATCATATGGTCTATCATGGAGAATATTCCATGTACTGATGAGAAGAATGTATATTTCACAGATCTTGGTTAGAATGTTCTGTAAATATCAATTAAGTTTATTTATTCTAGCATGTCATGTATGTTCATTGTTTCTCTGTTGAGTTTCAGTCTTGACGATCTATCTGGTGCTGTCAGTGGTGTATTGATGTCTCCCACTATTATTGTTTTGCTGTCTATCTCATTTCTTAGGTTTAGTATTAATTGTTTTATGGATCTAGGACCTCTAGCATTTGGTGGACATAAATTTAAGATTGTAATGTCTTCTTGTTGAATTGATTCCTTTATCATTATATAGTGAGCATCTTAGTCTTTTTTATTTACTGTTGTTGCTTTGAAGTATATTTTGCATAAGAATAACTTCTCCTGCTAGCTTTTGGTTTCCATTATTGTGGAATATCTTTTTTCACCCTTTTAACTTGAGTTAACATGAATCTTTCTATATTACATGGTCTCTTGAAGAGAGCAGATATTTCGTTGATGGTTTTCTTTTTTTTAAGTCTACTCTGCCATTCCATATCTTTTAAGTGGAACATTTAGGCCATTTATATTTAATGTTAATATTGAGACATGAGGTACTCTTCTCTTCATCATGTTAATTGTAACCTAGATTTTTTTTTCTAACTGTGTTATTGTTTTATAGGCTTTGTGAGATTTAAGCTTTCAAGAAGTTTTAATTTGGTGCATATCAAGCTTTGTTTAAGGGCTTAGAACTCCTTTTAGCATTTCCTGTAGTGCTGGTTTGGTTGTGACAAATGCCTTCAGCATTTGTTTGTCTGAAAATGACTATATTTCTCCTTCATTTATGAAACTTAATTTTGTAAGATACAAAATTATTAGCTGATATTTTCTCTGTTTAAGGAGGTTGAAGATAGGACTCCAATCCCTTCTGGCTTGTAAAGTTTCTTCTGAGAAGCCTGCTGTGAGTCTGATAGGATTTTCCTTGTAGGTTTCCTGATGCTTTTGTCTCACTGCTCTTAGAATTCTTGCCTTCATGTTGAATTTAGATAGCCTGATGATTATATGTTTTGGTGAAATTTCTTTTTGCAATACATTTCCCAGGAGTTCTTTGAGCTTCTTGGATTTGGATATGTAGATCTTGAGCCCGGATAGAAAAGATATCAATTATTCCCTCAAATAAGTGTTCCAGACTTATTATTTTCTCTTCTTCAGGAATGCCAATTTTTCTTAGATTTGGCTGCTTTGCACAATCCCATATTTCTTAGATAGCTTGTCTATTTCTTTTGATATTTCTTTATTTTTGTCTGATTTGGTTAATTTAAACGACTTGTCTTCAAACTCTAAAATTATTTCTTCTACTTGTTCTAGCCCATTGTTAGAACTTTCCACTCAATTTTCTAATTCTTTCAGTATGTCTTTCATATCCATAAGTTCTCATTGTTTTTCCTTGATTGTATCTCTCTAAAACTTTCTCGTTCATATTCTGAACTTCTTTTTAAAATTTCTTTGTGATGGTTTTTATCGTTCTCTGGTATCTACTTGAGTAGCTTAATAATCAAACTTCTGAATTTCTTATCAGTATTTCACAGTTTTATTCTGGGTTTGGGTCCATTGCTGGAGAGCCAGTGTGATCTTTTGGGGGTGGTAGAGCACCCTGTTTTGTCACATTACCAAAGTTATTTTTCTGCTTTCTTCTCATTTGGATAGACTATTTCTTCTAATTATTTTTTAATTTATGTTTGATTTGACTGTTTCTTTTGTGTGTTTGATTTTAATTTTTTTATTTCCTCCTTAAAAATTATACTTTAATGCCTATAGTTAATTTTACCCTAATTTGGTTCTTGGTGCTTTCAGTGGTGAAGACTCTGTAAGAGTTCCTTGCTTATTGAGAGTTTTTGTATAATGGCTTTCTCACATACTGGTTGTAGTGTCAATGCGCTTGGTGGATGAACAAGTTCACTATTTCCTATGGAATTTGAATTATAGAGACACCTTAAAGCTTAACTCATTCCCCTGTGGTGTGCACTTTTTTATTTTATTCATTTACTCCCAGTATTTACTGGTTTGATAGTTTAGGCTTAAGGACAGTAGGGGTGGTGTCCCCATATAGAAACTGGTTGTGGCTTAGCATGTGGGTAAATGAAGTCTTAGACCTGAAAGAGTGGCTGGAGGAACTCTCAGGGAGTTGCACCAAGGTCTTATCATGGAAAAGCTCTGGAGCCAGCTCAGCACCTTTGCCAGCTCAGCAGTAAATGTATTCATCTCTCAGACATGCTTCTGTCACAATGCTATGACTATTCTAATTAGACAAGCACCTCTTTTCATCTATAGGAATGTTCTACATAGAGAGGAATTGTGACTCTGTATCTCATGCAAACCTGAAACAGGAAGGTGCTTCTTCTTTGAAGATGCAGTCATCCTGATGTGTTCCAGAAAGTCTGTTTATATTTGCACCCAAGTCACACTCCCATGGGAGAAGCCACAGCTGTGCTTATTTTGGTGGATAAGTAGGGAAAGACTTCCTCTTTTCCAAGGCCCTTCACATGCACCAGGGCTGTTTGACGGCTGGAAGATAACTGAAGACATTCCTTGGTGAGCTTAGCACTTAAACTGTGCCTCTGCTGAAGGAGGCTTTCCTCAAGTGGTAGGATCTGGTGCTCAGGGCCTCTCATCGGGTTCCTTTTGTCCCACAGGGTGTTCCCTTAATGTGGTGCACTCCCTCTTTCTTTAGGAGTGGGAGTCTGTGAGAGCTAGGCAACTGTGAGTGTTGTTGCTCCTCTGTGTCTAGCTGCCCATTGAAGGTGCCACAATCCAGGCTGGTGTTGGGCAATTTCTGAAAATGATCTGGTGATGTGAGCTGTCCTCAAGTTTCCCAGCAGTGGGTAGCAACACAAACTCTAATGGGGGTGGCAAGGGAGTGATATAGACTCTGTGAAATCTTTTGGTTATTGATAGCTTTATTGTGTTGGCTTTCTTGAATGCCAGTGTTAGTAATAATGAGCTGGTCACATGAACAGACTCAAGACCTCCTGGTTAGCCAGATTCATGCAGGCCGTTGTGTAGCTGAGATCGCATAGTCATTTTTTCCTTCCTGGGTACAGTATTATTCTACTAGGAGATACTGTAATGGACCATGGTGGTTGGCTTTTAGCTAGGATGTGGCACTTGCAAAAGAGTGTGAGCTGAATTAGCAGTGGGATTTTGTTTGCCTTATGCTGCCTATAGGGCTTACTCTGGTTTCTCAGGCAATGGTAGGTCTGTGTAGCTCCCAAGAGATTCTGTTCCTTGTGTTAAGCTATCAATCAGAGTGAGGCTCAGTAGGGTAGGTTTGCCTTCTGTATCACCATGTGCAGAGCAGCCTCTGTGGGTGTTGGAGGATGGAAGCAGGTCTCAGGCCACCAGGTTGATGTTCCAGAGAGGAGAATTGATGCCTCTGCTGTGCAGAAGAGTTTGTGCAGGGAGTGGGGGTACCAGGTGGTGGTAAGCCTCACAGTTTCCATGCACTTGGAAAGGAAGATCTATTTCCACAGTGTTCCACTGGCAGCAGAAAACTGAGTTCCAGTCAGCCTGTAATCAGATCACATCACTGCCTGGAGTCATGAGCTATTCCCATGAAGACTGCAACCTCAGCTTTCAAGCTATACTTCTCCCTGTCCACTGCAAAGCCAGGCACCTGGCTCCTGCACCCATGGATCCTGCTTTTACAATTCCTGCATTCATAACTCCTGTACTCACAGCCCTCTTTTCACTCCCTTGTGCCCTAGCCCTGCCCAAGAGACTTCATCCCTACCTGAGGTTATATTGTGAAACCCCACTGAGAGCTTCTTTCAACCTCTGACCAGTGCCTGAACTTTTTGGCTTTCCTAGAGAGAGTCTCCCATGAGGAAGAGTAATAAATTGTTGCCCTCAGTCCACATTGGAATCTGGGAGTGCATGTAAGGGTCTTCACACTGCTGCTCCTATTTTTATATTCCATGGCCTTCCCCAAGCCCATTACTGAGTTGAGTGGGATTAGGGCCTTTCCCTGTGTCCAGGATATTCTGGTTCCACAGTGAGGGTGTATATCCCAGGGGCAAACTCTCCCCCTCTCACAACTGGGGGACTTTGCCTGACTCATAGTGTATGCTGCCTCCCCCTGCTTCCTTCAAAGAGTCCATAGGTTCCTTCTGTTTTTTTGGTTGAGTCACCGTGTTACTTCTTTAAAAAAGTGTACAATGTGAACCTATACACAGTATTTTGTCCTTCCAATTAGGAGAGATAATGCTAGCAATGCCTTCAATTTGCTATATTGGAAAAAAACTATAAAATGTTTTATGTAAGCCTCATGGTATAGACAAATTTAAAACTTATAGTAAATACACAAAAAGTAAAGGCAAATGAATCAAATAATACCACTACAAAAAACCAACAAATCAAAAAAAAAAAAAAGACAGCAAGACTTAAGCAAACAAAAAAAGCAAAACAGTCAAAAAACAATGAACAAAATGGAAATAGTATGCTCTTACCTATAAATAATTGCTTTAAATATAAATTAATTAAAATTTTTACCAGAAGACACAGAGTGCTTGAGCAGATTTTTAAAAAAGATCCAATAAAATACTACCATAAGAGACTCAGATTAGCCTTAAGGACACACATAAAGTAAAAGAATGGGAAAATCATAACATGAAAATGGTAACCCAAAGGGAGCAGGTGACTATTTATATCAGAAAAATAAAAAATTTAGGCAAAATATTTTACAGAAGAGAAAAAAGTCACTATATAATGATAAACTGGTTAATCCACCAAGAAGATATAATAGTTGTAAATCTATATTCACCCAATATTGAGGCAGGGAAATATATGAAACAAATTTTAACAGAAATGAAGAAAGAAATAGACATCAATAAAATTATGATAGGGGATTTTAATACATTGCTAACAAAAATGGTTAAATCATTCAGACAAAATCAATAAGCAAAAGAAAAACTTGATAAAACACTATAGCAAAAGAATACATGTCTTTTTCTCAGTGCACACACAACATTGTTCAGTATGGGTCATATGTTTGGCCACATAACAAGTCTTGACAAATTAAAGATTGATATCTTATCAAACATATTTTCAAACAACAATGGTATAAAACTAGAAAAAGAAGAAATTCTGGAAAATTCACCAATATATGAAAATTAAACTACCCTCTACTGAACAATTAATGGGTAAAAACAAAATCAAACTGAAAACAAAAAAGTTTCTTGAGACAAATAATATTTTTTTTAAATACTGTGTATGGTATTAAGCAGAAGCATTACAAAGAAAGAAGCTTATTATAATAAATACCTATATTTTTAAAAACTCAACATAAAAAATTTTTACACATCAAGGAGAAGTAACAAACCAAGAAAAAAACAAAATAAAAAAGAACAAAACCCCAATTTTGCAAAAGAGAGAAAAAAATATTAGAGAAGAAACAAATAAAATTGAGACTAGAAAGATAATTTAAAAAATTGACAAAACTGAGGCTTGATTGATTATTTGACAAAATAAAAAATGTTTAAAAAGCCTTTAACTAGACTAACCAAGTAAAATGAAAGGAACCTCAAATTAATAAAATTATAAATAAAAGTGGATAGAATACAACTGATACCACAGAAGTACATAGGGTCATAAAAGACTACTATGAGCAAATATATGGCAAAAAATTGAAAAAGAAAGAATGAATTAATAAATGTTTAGAAACACACAACTGAAGCATCTGAAATATGAAGAAACAGAAAATCTGTATAGAACAGTAATGAGAAAGAAGATTGAATCAATGAACAAAAATATTCCATCAAAGAAAAGCCCAGGGCCTGCTGGTTTCATGGCAGAAATCTACCAAACTTTTAAGGAAAAACTAATACAAATAATTCTCAAGCTCTTTCAAATATTGGAGACAAGTAAATGCTTCCAAACTCAATGAAGGCAGCATTAGCCTTATACTAATCCAGATTATAATGGTATAATAAAATAAAGGTACAGTTTAATATTCCTGATGAGCATAGATATAAAATTCTTTACAAAAAACCAGCAAACCAAATTTAACAGCACAAAAATAAGATCATATACTCTGGCCAACTTAGATATATCTCTGAGATTAAGGGATATTTAAAGATATGCAATTCAATATTAATAAGGAGGCAAATTAATAGAATGAATAATAAAATGTATATGATTATCTCCATAAATGCAGAAAAAAAAACAAATGGCACAATTCAAAATCTTTCATGATAAAAGCTTTCAACAAGTTACTTATAAGAAGAATGTAACTCAATAAAATAAAGGCCATATATAAAAATCACACAGCTAATTCATAACCAATCGTTAAAAGGCAAAAGCTTTTTCTGTATCATCAGGAATAAGACAAGAATGTTCGTTATAACCACTTTTATTTGACGTACTGATAGAAGTTTTGGTGCTAATAGGCAAGAATAAATAAATAAAAGGCATCCGAATCAGAAAAAAGAAGTATTTTTTTCTATTTCCAGATGACATTGTTTCATATAGTAGATGCATATGATACTCTCTTCTTCCATGTAAAAGAGCAAACAGAGCAAGTCAGTAAACACACTTTGATCAGATCATCTAAGAAAGAGCACTAAAATTCAACAGAGGATGGAAAGCAATAAAAGCAAGGAAGAAAAGGAAATCAAGGCAGCTTGCTGAGTTAGAATTGGCTGACAATTTAGAGAGCTATCTAAAGCAGAAAAAAGGTAAGTGAGAGTGGTCCATATTCCCACCACAGACTCCTACCTTCTGAGCCTTAAGAGAGCTCCTAGAACCCTGCAGGTCCTGAGACTAACATAGCAAGCTGCCTGGAGATCATGTGAAGGCATTGTTACAGAAAAATTGCTCACACAGAATACCATCTACTGCTGAGCCTTAAGCAGCTATAGAATAGTGTAATTTGAGAGCCCAGCCCCCACCAGATTACTCCTGGCAGTGGAAAATGAAGAAATTTCTTTTGATACAATGCAGAAAGAACTTTAAGTTGGAGCTGATGATGTTGAAGCATTTGCTACTGACACAGTAAGAACTAAAATAATCTACTGAAAAATTGATCAGAAAAAAGTAGTTGTCAGTCATGGCATACATCGGACATTTGGAAAACAGCAGTGGCAGCAACTGTAAGACACCCTTAATGCCTGGAAACAAACTCTGAACAAATTGAAAAACGGCCTTTTGAGTCTTTCTGATACCTGAGTTTTTATGCTTATAATTTTTGTTCTTTTTGGGAAAAAATAATCCCTAAATCATAGTAAAACATTATAAACTAAAAAAAAAAAAAAGACAAATCCTTAGCAATAAATGCCTCCATCAAAAAGCTAAAAACATTTAATATAAAAATCTAATTATGCACATCAAAATACTAGAAGAGCAAGAACAAACCAATCACAAATAGGTAGCAGGAAACATGTAACAAAGATCAGGACAGTACTAAAAAAATGGAGACTTTAACAATTAAAAAATCAATAATATGAGAATTTGAAGTTTTGAAAAATTAAACTTAACAAACCACTTACTAAACTAATCAGGAAATGTAAGAAGACCCAACTAAATGAACCAGAAGTTAAAAAGGAGAATTGCAACTGAGGACAGAGAAATGCAAAAGATTATTAGAGACTATAATGAACAACAATAATACATCAACAAACTAGAGAACCTTAAGAAAATGGATATGTTTCTGGACATTTAAAAACTATCAATACTGAATTAAGAAGAAATATAAAATCTGAACAGAACAATAATGAGTAATGAAATTGACTCAATAAAAAAATATTCCAACAAACAAAAGTTTAGGACTGAATGGCTTTACTGCCAATTTACCAAGATTTAAAAGAAATATGAATAGATCAAAATATTTGAAAAAGTTTAAGAGATGAAAAATTTCCATAACTCATTCTGTCAGGACAGCATTATTCTGACACTGAATTTATGCAAAAACCGAACCAAAAAAAAAGGAAACTACAGGTCAATATTCCTGATAAATATAGATAAGAAAGTTCTCAATAAAATGGCAGCAAACCAAACAACTGCACATCAAAAATTTATACATCATGATCCAGTCGGATGCATCCCAGGTATTCAAGGGTGGTTCAATATATGCAAATCAGTACATGTGATATGTCACATCTAGAGAATGAAAAAGAAAAACCACATCATTATTTTAATAAATGCAGAAAAAAATGTTAAAATTGAACATCTTTTTCTGATAAAAACTCAATAAATTATGACTAAAGGGAATATATAACAACATAATAAAAGCCATATATGACAAGCCCATAAAAATATCATAATGAATGGGTAAAAGCTGAAATTCTTTCTTTTAAAAACTGGAACAAGACAAGAATGCCCAGTATCAAGACAAGAATGCTCATTATCAGCACTCCTATAAAACATAGTATTTTAAGTTTTAGCCAGAGCAATCAGGCAAGTGGAGGAAATGACAGACATCCAAATTAGAAAACAGGAAGTCAAATTTTTCTTTTTGCTGATAATATGATCTTATATCTACAAATATCTAAAGAATGCAACAGAAAACTCAATTATCTGATAAATAAATTCAGTAAATTTCTGGATATACCATTAACATAGAAAATTATTTAATATTTCCATGCATCAATAGTGGACCATCTAAAAAGAAAAAAAGAAGGCAATCCCACTTAAAACAGCTACATGATAACTGAGATATCCAGGAATAAACTTAACCAAGAAGGTGAAAGATCTTTTTAAGAAAAAAATTACTAAACATTGAACAAGAAAATTGAAGATGACACAAACAAATAGAAATATACCCTTTGCTCATGTATCAGAACAATTAATACCATGAAAATGACTACACAGCCTGAAACGGTTTGGCTCTGTGTCCCCACCGAAATCTCATGTTGAATTGTAATTCTTAGTTTTGGAGGAGGGGCCTTGTGGGATGTGATTGAATCATGGGGACAGATTTCTTCCTTGCTTTTCTTGTGATAATGAGTGAGTGAACAAAGAAATTAAAGATGACACAGACAAATAGAAATACGCCCTTTGCTCATGTATCAGAACAATTAATACCATTAAAATGACCACACAGTCTGATATGGCTTGGCTCTGTGTCCCCACCCAAATCTCTAGTTGAATTATAATTCTTAGTGTTGGAGGAGGGGCCTTGGGGGAGGTGATTGAATCATGGGGACGGATATCTTCCTTTCTTTTCTTGTGATAGTGAGTGAGTTCTCATGAGTTCTTGTTGTTTAAAAGTGTGTAGCACTTCCTCTTTTGTTCTCTCTTTCTCCTTCTCTGGCCATGTAAGACATGTCAGCTTCCCTTTCACTCCTTCTCCTTCCAATATGATTGTAAGTTTCCTGAGACTTTTCCAGTTATGTTTCTTGTACAAGCTACAGAACTGTGAGTCAATTAAACCTCTTTTCTTTATAAATTACTCAGTCTCAGGTAGTTCCTTATAGCAATGTGAAAACGAACTAATGCACAGCCCAAAGCAAACTACAAATTTAGTGTAGTTTTACACTAAATTATTACACGAATTTTTACTATTACAATGCCAACATCATTTTTCAGAGATATAGCTCAAATAATTATATAATTTGTATAACACCAAAAAATAACCTAAGTAGAAAAACAATTACGAGCAATAAATAAAGCTGGAGGTATCACAATACTTGTATTCAAAATATATTACAAGACCATAGGAAAAAAACAGCATTATATTGTTATAAAAACAAACACATAGACCAATGAAACAGAATAGAGAATAAGAAATAAGTCCATCCATTTATAGACAACTGAGATTTGACAACTGGGCCAAAAGCTTACACTAGAGAGGGCCATCTTCTTCAATTCATGGTGCTCAGGAAACTGGATATCCATATGTAAAAATGGAACTTGACTTTATTTCTCATCATAACAAAAAAGTCTGTTCAAGCTGGATTAAACACTTTAGTATAAAAACTGAAACTATAAAACTACTAGAAGAGGGTGGAGAGATGGAATGGGGTGGGTTAAAAAACTACTTATTGAGTATTATACTCACTACTTGGGTGATGGGAGTCATACTCCAAACCTCAGCGTCACTCAAATATTTTCATGTAGCAAATCTGCACATGTACTCCCTGTTCCTAAAATAAAAGTCAAATTAAAAGAAAAACATTAGAAGTACTAGAATAAAACATAGGGTAAACACTCCAAAGCATTGGTCTAGGCAAAGATTTTACATGTAAGAACTCAAACGTACAGACAACACAATTAAAAACAGGCAAATGGGGCTACCACCTCAAGCTTGCTGCAGGCATCTTACTGAGAAGAGGCCAGACTATATTCCACATGAGGCACCTGACCTACTCAGGTGCCTCAGGCAGGCAGGGCCCCCTGGTTTGGGCTAACAGCACAGCTGCCCAACCCTGGCTGATTATTCTTCTCAGCCATAACTCTGCATTTATTTTGGGTAGAGAACCTACAGACAACTGACAGACCCTCTGTCACTGCCAAAGCTGTGGTACCCATGATTCCTATTCCTGGGCCAGTGGGGAGGACAAAAATTTTGATTTCAGCACATTGCAGTCACCCTATGGAGAAGTGGCCAGGCTGCCTTCCCTGTGAGTAGCCTCCTCCCAGCACTTCACCAGGCAGGGCTTCCCGGCTTGGGCCCACAGCACAATGGTCTCAATTCTGGTTCATCATTTCAATTTAGTAGCCCTGTATTTCTCTGGAAATACCTAATAAAAGAAATGTAGGTGCAGTACCAGTGATTGAAGGAGTCTTCTCCAAGGTTCAGGGGTAGACCTGGAGAAGGAGTCATCTTTCTTCTCCACCCCACAACACAGCATGCCTGCAAATGTGAGGAAATAGGATGGAGCCAAGTGGCTGAGTTAGAGCCTATCTACCAAGAATTACTTTTACACACCATCTACTGGATTGCACACCAACTACAACAACAAAAATGCTTTGCTTATATACCCTCCTATGAATAAAAGAGGAATAATTCTGCCACAAAGAGCCTTCACAGAGCCTTGGTCCTCTGAAAATATCTAAAAATAAAACCAAGTGACTATGTCCAACTTATGCTACATTTAAAGGAACACCAGCCCACCAAATGAGAAAGAATCAGCACAAGAATGCTGAAAATGAAAAAATCCAGGGTCCCCTTACCTCCAAATTCGTCCAGTAGCTCCCCAGCAATGGCTTTTATCCAGTCAGGAATGACTGAAATGACAGACATACAATTAAGAATCTGGATAGCAAGGAAGCTAATCTGATCGAAGAGAAAGCTGAAACCCATTCCAAGGAATCCAAGGAAACCCATAAAATTATCTAAGAGCTGATAGGCAAAATGGCCATTTTAAGAAAAAAAAAACTGAGTTTTTAGGACAAAACAATTTTTAAAAATCTCATAATATAATCAGAATTATTAAGAATAGAAGAGTCCAAGCTGAGAAAAAAATCTCTGAGCTTGAAGACTAGTTCTTTGAATCAACAGTCAGACCAAAATAATAAAAGAATTTTATAAAATAGTGAAACATCTGAGAAATATGAGGTTATGTAAAGAGACCAAATCTATCACTCATCAACATTCCTGAGAGAGAAGCAGAAAGAATAAACAATTAAGAAAATATATTTTAGTATAACATCAATGAAAATTTATCTAATCTCACTAGAGAAATTAAAGTGAAAATCCAAAACATAAGGAGACCCCTGGCTAGGTACTCAACAAAATGACTATCCCAACCACACATAATCATCAGATCCATCAATATGCACAAAGAAGGAAACACATTAAATGCAGCTAGAGAGAAAGATCAAGTCATATACAGAAAGAACCTCATAAGGCTAGCAGCAGATCTCTCAGGATAAACCTCACAAGCTAGAAGAGACTGGGGGCCTATTTTCAGCATCCTTAAAGAAAAAGAATTCTGTCCAAGAATTTCATATTTCACCAAACTAAGCTTCAAATGTGAAGAAGAAATAAAATGTTTCTCAGACATGAGAATGTTGAGGGAATTCATTTCAATTAAGCTAGACTTATAAAAGATCCTTAAAGGAGTGCTAGATGTGGAATAAAAAAATGACACCTACTAACACAAAAAACACACTTAAGGACATAGCCTACAGGTGCTACAAAGCAATCATGTAATCAAGTCTACCTAACATCAGCTAACATCAGAATGACAGGATCGAAGTCTCATATATCAATACTAACTCTGAATGTAAATGGGCAAAATGCCCCACTTAAAAGGTATAGAGTGACAGGCTAGATAAAAAGAAAAGACTCTACAATCTATTGTCTTCAAGAGACCAACCTCACAAGTAATGACACTCACAGCCTGAAAGTAAAAAGATGGAGGAAGATCTCTCATGCAAAGGAAAAACCAAAAAGGAGTAATCTCTATTTATATATAACATTAAACAGAGGGATAAAAGTTAAGAGGGATAAAGAAAGGAATTACATAATTATAAAGGCTAAAATCCAACAAGAAGCCTTAACTATCCAAAATATAAACACAAAAAATTTGGAACAACCACATTCATAAAACTAGTTTTTCTTGGCCTATGAAAAGACTTAGACAACCACAGTTTAATAAGAGGAGAATTCAGCACTCCAATGACAGCATTAAACATTTCATCGTTGTAGAAAACTAACCAAGAAACTCCGGACTTAAACTTGACACTTGACTGATTGAACCTAATAGACATCTACAGAACACACCACCCAACAACTATGAAATATATATTCTTCTCATCTGTGCATCTGTGCACATAACATATTCTAAGATAGTCCATACATTCCATCATTAATTATCAATAAATTGAAAAGAAATGAAATCATACCAAGTACACACTCAGACTACCGTGCAATAAAAACAGAAATCAGGCCAGGAGTGGTGGCTCATGTTGTAATCCCAGCACTTTTCAAAGCTGACGTGGGAGGATAGCTTGAGTCCAGGAATTCAAGACCAGCCTGTGAAACATGGTGAAACCCCATCCCTACAAAGAATACAAAAATTAGCTAGCTATGGTAGCACATACATGTGGTCCCAGCTACTGGGAGGCTGAGGTGAAAAGATTACTTGAGTCTAGGAGGCAGAGGTTGCAGTGAGCCAAGATTGTGCCACTGCACTTTAGCCTAAGTGACAGAGAGAGAGCCTGTCTCAAAAAAAAAAAAAAAAAAATCAGTATCAAGAAGATAGCTCCAAACTACACAAATATATGGAAATTTAAAAACTTACCCTTGAATAACTCCTGAGTGAACATCTAAATGAAGGAAGAAATTTAAAAATAAACTTTGAAATTAATTTAATAACGACAGAATTTACCAAAATCTCTGGGATGTAACTAAAGCAGTATTAAGAAAAAAGTTTATAACACTGAACACCTTCATCATAAAGTTAAAAAGGTCTCAAGTTAACAATATAACTTTTCAACTAAAAGAACTAGAGAAAAAGAACAAGGCAAAGCCAAATCTAGCAGAAGAAAATAAATAACTAAAATTAGTGAAGAATAGAATGAAATTGAGATGCAAAAATCCATACAAAAGATAAATAAAACCAACAGTAGTTTCTCTGAAAAAATAAACAAGATTCATAGACCATGAGCTAAAATTAACCAGGGGAAAAAAAAGATCCAAATAAGTAAATTAGAAATGACAAAGACATCACCAAGCCCATAAAAAGACAAAAGTTTCTTAGATAATACTATGAGTAACCCTATGTACAAAAACTAGAAAATATAGAGGAAATGAACAAATTCTTGGAAACACATAATTTTCCAAGGTTGATTCAAGAAGAGATTGAAACCCTTTATAGACTAATATCAAGCTCTGAAATTGAAACAGTAATAAAAAATTTACCAACCATTCTGCTCTGCCTATGGAGTAGCCATTCTTTATTCCTTTACTTTCCTAATAAACTTGCTTTTGCTTAAAAAAAATTACCACCCAAAAAAAGCCCTGGATTTGATAATCACAGCTGAATGCTACAACACATACAAAGAACTAAGCCAATTCTATTGACACTATTGCAAAAATTTGAGAAGAACAGGCTCCTACCTAACTCATTCTATGAAGCTAGCATCACCCTAATACAAAAATCTGGCAAAGACACAGTAAAAAAGAAAATTTGAAGCCATTATTTTTAGACACAAAAATATAACTTAGACACAAAAATTTTCAACAAAATACTAACAAATCAAATCCAGCAGCACATCAAACACTTAATACTTCATGATCAAGTAGTCTTTACTTCTGGAATATAAGACTGGTTCAACATGAACAAATCAATAAATGTGATTCACCACATAAACAAAATTAAAAGCAAAAACTTTACAATCATCTCAATAGACTCTGAAAAATTTTTAAGTAAAATCCAACACCCCTTCCCTAATAAAACCCCTCAATACTAGGCATAGAATGAATATACCTCAAAATGGGGTAAGAGCCATCTGACAAAACCACAGCCAACATCATACTGCATGGGTGAAACCTGGAACCAGTCGTTGAGAACTAGAAGAAGATAAGGGTTCTTGCTCTCTCTGAATCTATTCAACATAATACTGGAAATCCTAGCCAAAGCAACCAGGCAAGAAAAAGAAATATAAGGCATCTAAATAGGTAAAGAAGAAGCTGAACTATGATACTATATCTAGAAAACCCTCAAGACTCCACCAAAAGGCTACTAGAATTAATAAACAAATTTAGTAAGGCTTCAGGATAGAAAAATCAATGTTCAAAATCATGATCATTTCTATACACTAATAATGCACAGGCTGTGATTAAAACCAGTAACACAATCACATTTACAATTGCAACAAAGAAAATACAATACTTAGGGATATACCTAACAAAAGAAATGAAATATCTCTACAAAGAATACTACAAAACACTACTGAAAAAAATTAGAAATAATATAAATAAGCAGAAAAGCATTTCATTCTCATGAATTGGAAGAGTCAATATATTTTAAATGACCATATTGCCCAAAGCATTTTACAGGTCCAGTATTATTCCTGTTAAAACTACTAATGTAATTCTTCACAGAATTAGAAAAATATAATATTCTAAAATTTGTATGAAACTAAAAAGGACCCTAAATGAAACTGCCTTTGCAAAAATTATATTAGTGAGAAAAATTAAGCTAAACTAACCTACCCCCACATCTTCCCTTGTCCTTAATTATCACTGGGCTATTGGGCCAAGCTAACTTTGGAAGACATTTAGGCTACAGTTTAAATGATAATAGGTCTTGCCCCAAACTTAATCACTTTGTAAAGTGATGGGAAGCCATCAGGCTGAGGAGAGGAGAGGAACCTGCTAAGGTGCAGACATAAATGATTGTCAGCCATTACCCTGGAGGTTATAATATATGCAATTCCCCCTATTACTCCTGTAAATAAAACAACTATTGTTGATTGGCCTTTGGAGATATCTTTCCAAGTTTTTTGCATGTCTGACACCCATGGCTCCACCTGGACTGCCAATCCCACTCCTGTCGCCCCATCCAGAAGTACTTCAGGAGGACAGCATAAACTTCCCATGATTTCATCTCTGCCCCAACCAATAAGCAGTAAGCACCTGTTACCTGGTCACCCCCAACCCTTCCCCTAAACTGCCTTTGAAAAGCCCGTAACCTAGGAGCCTCAAATGAGATGATTTGAACAGAAACTCTGTCTTCCACATGGCGTGGCTGGATTCATGTCTATGAAACTCTTTCTCTACTACAATGCTGTGGTCTTTCTTTATGCAGTCAGCAGGAAGAACCCCTCGGGCAGTTACACAACCATCTGTTCTTTAACAAGGCTGAGAAAAATAAGCAATAGAGAAAAGACTTCATATTAAATAAACAGTGATAAGACAGCTGGCTAGCCATAGGAAGAAAATTAAAACGGTTTTCTAAATTTCACCATATAACAAAATTGAATCAATATGGAAGATTTAAAAGTAGAATCTGAAATTATAAAAGTCCTAGAAGAAAATCTAAGCAATACCCCTCTTGATGTTGGCCTTGGCAAAGAATTTATGGGTAAATCCCCAAAAGCAGTTGCAACGAAAACAAAAAAGTGGTAAACAGAACCTAATTAAACTAAAAGGCTTCTGCACAGCAAAAGTATCAACAGAGTAAACAGGAACCTAGAGAATGAGTGAAAATATTTACAAACTATGCATCTGACAATAGTCTAATATCCAGAATCCATAAAGAACTTAAATCAACCTGAAAATAATAACCCCATTAAAATGGGCAAAAGGCATGAACAGACACTTTTCAAAAGAAGATGTACACATGGCCAACAAGCATATGAGAAAATGCTCAACATCACTAATCACTAGAGAAATGCATCAAAATTACAATGAGATACCATCTCACACCAGTCAGAATGGCTATTAGTAAAATATCAGAAAATAATAGATGCTAGTGAGGTTGCAGAGAAGAAGGAATGCTTATACGCTGCTAGTGGGAATGTAAATTTGTTCAGCCATTGTGGAACGCAGTCTGCAGATTTCTCAAAGAACCTAATAGGGAGCTGCCTTTTGACCGAGCAATCCTATTACTGGGCATATATCCAAAATGCAACAGATCATTATACCAAAAAGACACATGCACTCATATGTTCATCAGCATGCTACTCACAATAGCAAAGACATGGAATCAACCCAGGTGATTATAAATGGTGAATTCCATAAAGAAAATGTGATACATATGCACTGTGTAATACTGCACAGCAGTAAATGTAAAATCATGTTCTTTGTGGCAACATGGTTGGAGCTGGAGGCCATAATTCTAAGGGTATCAATCCAGGAACAGAAAACCTAATACCACATGTACTCACTTACAAGTGGGAGGTAAAAATTGAGCACACATGGATAACCTTGGGAATAATAAACACTGGGGACTACTAGAGTAGTGAGGAAAGTAGGGAGCCATGGGTTGAAAAACTACCTATTGTGTACTATACTCACTACCTGGGTACAATATACCAGTGTAACAAGTCTACACATGTACACATAATATCTAAAAGAAAGGTTGACATTTAAAAAAATCAAACCAGTGGGACTTTATTAAACTGAGTAGATTTTGCACAGCAAAGAAAACAATCAACAGACTGAAGTGACAATCTATAGAATGGGAGAAACTATTTGAAAACTATTTATCTGTCAAGAGAACAATATCCAGAACATACAAGAAACTCAAAAATCTCAATGGAAAAAAATGAACAAATAACCTTATCAACATGTGTTACATTCTCTAAATAGACACATCTTAAAAGAAGATGGCTATCATACTAATAGTCAATGGATATAAGAAAAAATTGTCAACATCATTATTTATCTGGAAAATGGAAATCAAAACCACAATGAGATATTATTATCCCAGTTAGTGTCCATGTTTAAAAAGACAAAAATAACAGGTGTTGGTAATTTGCATAGAAAAGGAAACTTTAATAAAAAGTTTTCAATTTTTTAATTTTTGTGAGTACATAGTAGGCATATACATTTGTGAGGTACATAAGATGTTTTGATACAGGCATTCAAAGTATAATAAGCACATTATGGAGAAAGGTATTCATTTCCTCAAGCATTTATACCTTGTGTTACAAACAATTAAATTATACATTTTTAGTTATTTTAAGATGCACTATTAAGTTATTATTGACTATAGTCACCTTGCTGTGCTATCAAATAGTAGGTCTTATTTATTCTTTCTATTTTTGTGTACATCCAAACCATCCCCACCTCCCCACCACACCTCCCCCGCCGCCCCGACTACCCTTCTCAGCCTCTGGTAACCATCATTCTACTCTCTGCGTTCATGAGTTTAACTGTTTTGATTTTTAGATCCCACAAATAAGTGAGAAGATGCAATGTTTGTCTTTCTGTGCCTGACTTATTTCACTTAGCATAATGATCTCCAGTTCCATCCATGTTATTGCAAATGACAGGATCTCATTTTTTTTTAATGTCTGGATAGTACTCCATTGTGTTGCGTACACTTTCTTTTTCCATTTATCTGTTGATGGATGCTTAGGTTGCTTCCAAACCTTGGCTATTGTGGACAGCACTGCAACAAACATGGGACTGCAGATATCTTTTCAATACCCTGATCTCCTTTCTTTTGGATATATACCCAGCAGTGGGATTGCTTGTCCATACGGTAGTCTATTCTCAGTTTTTTGAGGAACCTCTGACATGTTCGCCATAGTGGTCGAAGTAATTTACATTCCCACCAACACTGTATAACGGTTCCCTTTTCTCCACATTCTTGCCAGTGTTTTTTATTGCCTATATTTTGGATATATACCATCTTCACTGGGGTGAGATAATCTCATTTTAGTTTTGGTTTGCATTTCTCTGATGATCAATGATGTTGAGTACCTTTTCATATACCTGTTTGCCTTTTGTGTGTCTTTTTTTTTAAGAAATGCCCATTCAAATATTTTCCTCATTTTTTATTTGATTATAAAATTTTCTTCCTATAGAGGGGCTTGAGCTCATTATATAGTCTGGTTATTAATCTCTTGTCAGGGCGGTAGTTTGCAAATATTTTCTCCCCTTCTATGAGTTGTCTCATCACTGTGTTGATTGTTTCCTTTGCTTTGCAGAAGCTTTTCAACTTAATATGATCCCATTTGTCCATGTTTGCTTTGATTGCCTGTGCTTGTGGGGTATTTCTCAATAAATTTTTGCTCAGACCAATGTTTTGGAGATATTTCCCGGTGCTTTTTTTGTAGAAGTAGCATTGCCTTTTCAATAAATATTATTGGCAAAATAGGACATTCACTTGCAAAAATAAAATGGATTTTTATGTTACACCATACACAACAAGTGACTCATCATGAATTAAAATTTTAAATATGGAACCTGAAACCATAAAACTCCTGAAATAAAACATAGAGAAAAATTTCCATTTCATTGTTTTTGGCAATGACTTTTGGATATTACACTAAAAGTGCAGGCAGCAAAAGCAAAAACTGGCGGGACTGCATCAAACTAAAAAGTTTCTGCACAGCAAAACAGTCAACAAAATAAAAAGCCAGCCCATGGAATGGAAGAAAATATTTTCAAACCATATGATTGATAAATGGTTAATATTCAAAATATGTAAGAAACTCATAACTAAATAGCCAAAAAACAAACAAATTTAAAAATGGGCAAAGAACCTGAACAGAAATTTTTTTATGGAGAAGACATAGATGACATGCATGCATATGAAAATGCACTCAACATCATTAATCATCAAGGAGATGAAAATCAAAACCAAAATGAGCTATCACCTCATACCTATTAGGATGGTTCGCATCAAAAAAGTCAAAATTTAACAATTGTTGATAAAGATATAAAGAAAAGAGAACCTTTATATATTATAATTGGTAAAAGCATTATGGAGAACAGTATTAAGGTGTCTCAGAAAACTAAAAATAGAGGTACCATATGATACAGCATGTCCACTTCTGCATGTATATCCAAAGGAAATAAAATAACTATCTTCAACAGGTATGTATCTGCACTCCCACTGAATTGCAGCATTATTCAGAATAGTGAAGATATAGAAACAACCTAAGTGGCCACTGATGGATGAACAGATATAGAAAATATGAGATATATGCATACACACAAACACACATACAGACAAGGGAATATTATTCATTCTTAAAAGGAATTAAATCCAGCTGGGTGCAGTGGCTGATGCCTGTAATCCCAGCACTTTGGGAGGCCGATCCGGGCAGTTCATGAGGTCTGGAGTTCGAGAACAGCCTGGCCAACCTAGTGAAACCCCATCTCTATTAAAAATACAAAAATTAGCCGGGCATGGTGGCGTGTGCCTGTAGTCCCAGCTACTCGGGAGGCTGAGGCAGGAGAATCGCTTGAACCCGGGAGGCGGAGGTTGCAGTGAGCCGAGATTGTGCCACTGCACTCCAGCTTGAGCAACAGAGTGAGACTCCATCTCAAAAAATATCCTGCTGTTTGTAACAACATGGATGAATCTCATGGATATTATGTGTAGTGAAATAAGGCATATGCATTAAAAAAAGAAAAAGAAAAAGAAAAAGAAAAAAAGTAACAACACTACACTGCATTAACTCATTTACACATAGAATCCAAAAAGTCAAAATTATAGAACCAAAGAGTAGAATGTTTGTTAGTAGGAGACAGGCATGGGGGATGCTATGGTTTGAATGTATTCCCCAAAACTCATGTGTTGAGTTATTATAATGGTCAATGTAGTAATAACAAGGGTGACCTTTAGAAGGTAATTAACTCATGAGAGCAGAGTTGTCATGGGTGAGATTAGTCCCCATATAAAGGGGCTTGAGGGAGTTGGTTTATCCTCTTCTGGTTTTCTGCCATTTGAGGACACAGCATTTGTTCCCTTTTTATCCTTCGATATTCTGCCATATGAGAGCACATCATTCTTCCCATCTAGAGAATGTAGCAATAAGATACCATTTTTGAAGGGGAGGCCAGGGCCCTAATCAGACTCTGAATCTGCTGGCACCTGGAACTTGGATTTCCAAGTGTCTAGAACTGTGAAAATAAAAATGCTGTTTATATATTACCCTGTCTCAGGTATTTTGTTATAGCAGCACAAACAAACTAAGATGAGGGAATGGGGTGATGTTAGTTACAGGGTACAAACTTGAAGTTATAAGATAAAAAAGTCCTGGAGACCTAATGCATGGCCAAGTGACGATGATAGTTAATAATGTATTGTATACCTGAAAGTTGACAAAAGAGAAGATATTACGTGTTATCATCACTAAAAGACTATATGAAATGATAGATATAAATATTAGCTTTATTGTGGTAATCATTCCACAGTGTATTGTATATCAAAATAGCACTTATATGCCTTAAACATACACAAATTTTGTCAATTTTACCTCAGTAAGGCTGAAAAGAGACTGTTGTAAATCTATGTGCATTACTTGCTGTACATATGCTTAACAATTTTACCATTAGTAATTTCTGAACAAAAGTTTACAGACAGAAGTGAAACACTCCTGTACTTGAAGGTCATCTTAAAGTTTTAAAGGCATTTGTAAGTTAATAGAGGCAATCCCATCAGAAGTATTATTTTATGCAGATTTATAAATCCACATAAAGAGGAAATACTATCCTCTACCACAGTGTTAATTTACTTTTTGATAATTCAGCATTGTTATTATGTTATTTAGAAGGGTTTTTGTATAAAGAAAAAATGCAAAAACAGTTTTGAGCTGGCTCTCTTCATTGCTCATTTTGAATAAACCCAAATACAGCCAACTGATCTTTGACGAAGCAAACAAAAACATAAAGCAGGGAAAGGACACCCTTTTTAAGAAATGGTGCTGAGATAATTGGCTAGCCACATGTAGGAGAATGAAACTGGATTCTCATCTCTCATCTTTTACAAAAATCAACTCAAGACAGATTAAAGACTTAAATCTAAGACCTGAAACTATAAAAATTCTAGAAGATAACATTGGAAAAACCTTTCTAGACATTGGCTCAGGCAAAGATTTCATGACCAGAAGCCCAAAGGCAAATGCAATACAAACAAAGATAAATTGCGGGAACTTAATTAAACTAAAGAGCTTTTGCATAGTGAAAGGAACAGTCAGAAGAGTAAACACAAAACCCACAGAGTGGGAAAAAATCTTCACAATCTATACTTTTAACAAAAGACTAATATCCCGAATCTACAAAGGAACTAAAAGAAATCAACAAGAGAAAAAACGATCTCATCATGGCTAAGGACATGAATAGATAATTCTCAAAAAAAGATATAAAAATGGTCAATAAATATACAAAAATGCTCAATATCACTAATGATCAGGGAAATGCAAATTAAAATCACAATGCAATACCACCTTACTCCTACTAGAATGGCCATAATAAAAAATAGTAGATGTTGGCATGGATGAGGTAAACAGGGAACACTTTTATACTGCTGGTGGGAATGTAAACTAGTAGAGCCACTATGGAAAACAATGTGGAAAATCCTTAAAGAACTAAAAGTAAAACAATCATTTGATCCAGCAATTCCACTATTGGATATCTACCCAGAGGAAAATAAGTCATTACACGAAAAATATACATATGCATGTTTATAGCAGCACCACTCCCAATTGCAAAATCATGAAACCATTTGGGAGGCCAAGGCGGGCGGATCACAAGGTCAGGAGATTGAGACCATCCTGGCTAACATGGTGAAACCCCGTCTCTACTAAAAATACAAAAAAAATAGCCAGGCGTGGTGGCGGGTGCCTGTAGTCCCAGCTACTCAGGAGGCTGAGGCAGGATAATGGCATGAACCCGGGAGGTGGAGCTTGCAGTGAGCCGAGATCGTGCCACTGCACTCCAGGCTGGGCGACAGAGCGAGACTCTGTCTCAAAAAAAAAAAAAAAGAAAAACATGAAATCAACCCAAATGTCCATCAATCAATGAGTGGATAAAGAAACTGAGATACACACACACACACACACATATATATTCCATTGTATGTATATATATACATATACACAATGGAATACTATATATGTATATGTATATTTATATATATATATATACACACACACAATGGAATACTACTCAGCCATAAAAAGGAATAAATTAATGACATTCACAGCAACCTGGATGAGATTGGAGACTATTATTCTAAGTGAAGCAACTCAGGAATGGAAAACCAAGCATCATATGTTCTCATTCATAAGTGGGAACTAAGCTGAGGACACAAAGGCATAAGAATGGTACAATGAAGTTTAGGGACTCAGGGGGAAAGGGTGGGAAGGGAGTGAGGAATCAAAGACTACAAATATGGTGCAGTGTATACTGCTTGGGTAATGGGTGCACCAAAATCTCACAAATCACCACTAAAGAACTTACTCATGCAACTAAACACTACCTGCTCCCCAATAACCTATGGAAATAAAAAAAAGAAATTGAGTTAATATCTTTAAAGCTATACCTGTTGGCAGTGTGTTGCCAGCCAATAACTTTAGGTTTTAGTCATTGGTCTGTCACTAGCTAGCTGTATAATTTTATTTTATTTTTTTCTGGGCCTCAGTTTTCTCTATGGTGAAATGGAAATGTCAACCAGATGAATGTTAGTTTTCTTCAGCTTAAATATTTATGACTGTCAAAGTAAATTATTAATTTATTCTGACATTTGGAACTCCATTTGACTAAAACTTAGTGTTATTTTGCTTATCCTTTTATCTGGAATTTTCTTTCCTCTTACGTTCTATAACCCAAGTAAACTGAGAATCCATATCCATTTCTTTCTCACACTTTTCATATCAAATTAATCACTTTGTACTGTCTATTCTACAGTCTTAAAATCCTTTAAATCTATCCCAAAAATAACGCTTTATTTCAAACTACTTTTATCAGTTTCCTGGAATATTTCATCAGTTTTTAATTGTTTCTTTTATATATACATTTTACTGCTTCCAATCTGCTCACACTGCCACCAGGAGGAACAGTCTAAAACACAAATCTTTGTTTATTTTCAAAAAGGGAAGATTAGAGCCTTTTGCATGCCTCAGCCACCTGGAAATGGCAAAATAGTGCATAACATCAACTCTGTGTGCTTTAATTCAAGAAGGAAAATGGGAATCCACTGGAATAGAGAAAGACAACTGAGATCCCAGAGAGGAGATCGTGGGCAAAGAGCCCCAATGATGGCATCTGGCTGATAAAAGTAGGTGGAACCCCAGAATATGATAGAAGCAGAGAGTTTCTGGTATAATTTGCAGGTATGTCCCCATTTAAATCTCACGTTGAAACATAGTAACATAATAGCTAATGTTGGAGGTGAGGCCTGGTAGAAGCTGATGGAATCCTGGAGCAGATTTCTCATGAATGATTTAATACTGTCCCCTTGGTACTGTCCTCGTGATATTTGGTGAGTTCTCATGATATCTGGTAATTTAAAAGGACATAGAATCTTTTCCTTTTCTCTTTCGCTTCTGCTCTGGATATGTGCCATCTCTGCTTCCCCTTCACTTTTTATCAGAATTGTAAGTTTCCTCAGGCCTCCCAAGAAGCTGAGCAGATGCCAGCATCATGTTTCCTGTACAGCCATCAGGACTATGAGCCATTTAAATCTGTTTATTTATAAATTACCCAGTTTCCTGCATTTCTTAGTAGCATTGTGAGAATACACTAATACAGCCTCTCTCTGTTACTCACCTTTACACTAGGGGTCTTAGCAAAAGAGGCCAAAATCAAGAACCTTGCTTCTCCTAATCACTGGAGTAAATGTGGGGAGAGCCTTGGAGACACTGAAAGTGAAAAACACTAGGAAAAGCTGCAGGATTTTTGCAACCTGAGATTGACAACAGAATGCTATTTTTAATCCAGGTGAATACAATGTAAGTCATTTTTTGGCAATCCTGCAGTATGGATGTGCAAGCATTTTAGATTTGGGCCAAAGATTGAAGTACTTGCTCTGGAGTGGGGCAGGAGCCTCCATAGCCAGAATTGTGGAAAGCTTCACAGCTGTATGCACTGAAATTGTGCTCTTCCTTGTTTCATGCCTGTGGCAGGAGTAGAGCTGCTGGAGCTGTGGTTTCTCTAGGGTGATGAGTGTTGCAGTCAAGGCCAGATTGCTGACCAGGAATTGGCCTGCATGTGTTATTGCTGGGTGCCCAAGCCTGCTTCCCTGAGATTGTGCACAGCAGGACCTTCTCTACTCCAACAACAGGCAGAACTCTAGGGATGCAGAGCACCCACTTTCCTGGACAAACAGCCTGAGCCACCCCATCCTTCCTTTGCATAAATTATGCTGCAGCAGGGAACTCTCTGCTCCATACACCAGCAGATCTCCAGGCATTTGGACAGAGACCATGGTGACATGTGTTCCACTCTGCTTCATGCCCAGGCAGATCTTCAGGCATTTGAAGTAACTTCTCATCCAGATCAGCAGCCTGATCAGCTCAAATCTTTCTGTGCAGAGATCTGGTGCAGGGAGACCCTCTTTGCTACATGCCCAGACATATCCTCAGTCATTTGGAGCGACTGCTCACCAAGATTGACAGTCTGAGCCACCCAACCAATCCTCAGCAGATTGTGGGGCAGTGAGGCCCCCTCCACTTGACCCCCAAGCATATCTACAATCATTCAGAACACCCACTTGCCTGGAGCAGCAGCCTGAGCCAAACCACCATCCTTGTGCAGAGAATGCAGTGCAGTGTGATCCTCTGCTTTCCATGTCCAGGCAGAGAACCTGTCTCTGAGCTCTGAGATTCTTTGCTCAGCTTGGTCTATTCTGCTGTTAATACTTGCAATTGCATTATAAAAATTTTGTAGTGTGTTTTTCAGCTCTATCTTATCAATTTTATTCTTTCTTCCAATCATTATTTAATATATCAGCTGCCATATCATTTTACTGTAAACCTTAAATTCTTTGGATTGGGTTTCAGCTTTCTCCTGGATGTCTATTATCTTTATTTCTATTTATATTCTGAATTATATGTCTGTCATTTCAGCCATTTTAGCCCAGTTAATAACCCTTCCTGGGGAAATACTGTGGTTGTTTGGTGGAAAGAAGACATTCTGGGTTTTTGAGTTTACAGAGTTCTTGCACTGGTTCCTTCTCACCAGTGTGGGCTGATGTTGTTTCTATTGTGGTATAATTTTAGTACAGTCACTTGAGTTCTTATCTGGATATTTTTAGAGGGCCATGGCTTTGTGTAGAATCTTTATTTAGGAAAAAATGAGTTAGTAATACTTAGTGATCTTTATTGTTGTTGGTGTAAAAAATGTTTGGGCTCACACGAAACATGTAACCATAACAGATTTATTTCTGAAGATGTATCTCTTTTTCATATTGTTTCTCTGTGATTTGAACGGGGAATGTTGTGAGAGAAGATGCTAAAGGTAAAGCAAGGGTGTTATTTGAAAAAGGAGTGAAGAAAGTAATACTTTTATGTTCATCCTCCTGAGTTCAAACACTTTGTTTATAAGTATTTAAATTCAGTCATATTTTATTCAACTGCTGAGTGTTAGAAAATGAGCTAATCCACCGTATCTGGAACTGGATAGACCTATTTACTTCAGCAAATATTTAATTTGTAACATGCTGCATTTTGCTGGATATAAAAGTGGATGAGGTTAAATTCTTTGTCATCTAGCAGCTTCCATTTTGGTTTGTGGAGACTGAATTATACCATCCTACTATCCACTTCCCTCTAATACATTTTCTACTTAATGCACAACAAGTGAACCACTGTGGTTCCTGGGAGAATAAATATTCTAGAGTATGCTTTGGCAGGTATACATATACTTCTCTAGGTACACAGCAGAAAAAAAGTAAAACAGGTACTATCAGATTTTATGTCATTCTGATGTGTCTGTACTTATTTAAAGGAAAATGTTCAAATATAACATGTCATTCTGAGAAAAACCATTGCCATATAATTTAAAGAAAGCATTTTAGTAAGTAATATTCTTTTATAAGAGAAGCAACACATCTGGTATAGAATTGTGTGGACAATCTACTGAATAAAAGAAAATATTTGCAAACCATATACCTGATAAGGACATAGTATTTATAACGTATAACAAACTCCAACAACTCAACTATACAAAAACAGATAATCCAATTAAAAAGTGGAGAGGTAAACTGAAGAGATACTTCTCCAAGAAGATAAGGAAATGACAAAATTCACATGGAAAGGTGCTCAACATCATTAGTCATCAGGGAAATGCAAATTAAAATCACAATGAGATGATACTTTACACCTACTATGATGGCTATAATCAAAAGTCAGACAATAAGGATGTTGATGAGGGTGTGGAGAAATTAGAACTTTTGTGCATTGCTGGTGGGGATGTAAAATTGTGGAGCCAAGATGGAAAACTTGAAGTTTCTCAAATGGTAAAACATGGAGTCAGAGTATGACCCAGCAATCCCACTCTCAAAAATATACCCAATAGAATTGAAAACATCACTCAACACCAAAATTTGTACAATAATGTTCAAAGCTTGTTTGGTTTATTCATAATAGCCAAACAGTGGACACACTCCAAAAGCTCATTTACTGGAGAGACATGATCAAGATGGCACAATAGGAGTTTACTGGTTCCAGTCCCACTCACAGAAATCCAACCAGCAAGTATCTGCATACAAAAATATAATAATACATTCATAAATAGCCCAGTACTCAGGAATGAGGTTAACACACCATCATGGTTTGCAGAGTTTTTACCCCATTTTTCCCCTCTTAACACATTGAATATATTATCCCAATTTATCTTGGCCTGAAAAGACATCTGCCAAGGAATCTGCTGATAGAGTTATAAAGGTTCCCTTGTATGTGATGAGGAACTTTTCACTTGCCACTTTCAAAATTTTCTTTATTTTTTGTCTTTGATATTTGATACTTTTATTGTAACTCGTCTCAGTGAGAACATCTTTATGTTCAACCTATTTGGAATTCTTGGGCTTTCATAGTTTCGGTCTCACAGGGTCTCATCCAGGTTTTGGAAAATATTTAAAAATCATTATTTTAAAAAACATGCTTTGTAGCTCTTTCTCTTTCTCTGCTATTTGGGGAGTGCTTATAATATGAAAGTTTGTTTTCTTGATGTTGTTTCTTTTTTTTTTTTTTTTTTTTGAGACGGAGTCTTGTTCTTTCGCCCAGGCCGGAGTGCAGTGGCGCTATCTCGGCTCACTGCAAGCTCCGCCTCCCGGGTTCATGCCATTCTCCTGCCTCAGCCTCCGAGTAGCTGGGACTACAGGCGCCTGCCACCGCGCCCGGCTAATTTTTTGTATTTTTAGTAGAGACGGGGTTTCACCGTGTTAGCCAGCCCCCGTGCCCGGCCTTGATGTTGTTTCTTAAGTCCTATAGGTCCCCATTCTGATTTTCTTTCTTTTTGTTGCTGTTCCTTTGACGATAATTTCAAGTGATCTTTCTTTGAGTTCGCTGATTTTTAGTTCTGTTTCATTGAGTCTACTGTACAAGCTGCATATTGACATTTTAAGTTCAGACATTTTACTCTTCATCTCCAGAATTTACTTTAGTAATCTCTGTTTCTTTCTTCAACATATTGTTTTGCTCATGTACTGTTTTTCTGCTTTATTTAGTTATCTATTGGTGGTTTTTATAGCTCACTTTACTTCAAGATAATTATTTTAATAATATTTAAGGTAATTTATAGATCTCCATTTCATTAGAGCCAGCCCTTGTGGCTTTATTTTGTTCCTTTAATGCTGTCATGTTTCCTTCATGCTTTGTGGTCCTTGAAGCCTTGCATTTCTGTTTTCTTTTTTTTTCATTTATAGTTGTATTCACCTTTGGAAGTCTTTACTGACTGGATTTGGGAGAGAAAGACCTTCACCAGTCAGCATTGCTAGACATTCTGAGGCATCTCTCAGACTTTGTTTTTTTTCTGCATGTGACAACTCAACTCGTCTTGTTGAATTTTAGAAAAATAATTCATAGTATTGTGTGTTTTATATTGACCCCACAAAATCAGGCCAGATGCTTACAACCTCCTATTTATTTTCCTTAGGAAGTTGTCCTCAAATGTTCAACAGTGTACCCCTTCACCCAATCCAGCAGAATAGAGCAAGATAATGATATCTACACCTGCTTTTGAGCTCTGTGTGCTATTGGAGAAGTCTTGTACATGCCCTCTGTAGAAATAACATGGGGCACTGTGCACCAGGGCATGTGGGGTGCTGGTCATGGTGGCATAGAGAATGATGGTGGCATATGTAAACTGATTGTGGGATTCTGCAGGTGTGTTGTTTTGTAGGGTTTATGGAAAAGCTTCTTAGTGGAGTTTACAGGTCAGTTGACAAGATCCATAGTTAGCTGCTGTGATTCACACATAGGTTGCTATTAGCTCCAGGCCTTTCATCTTGCTCCTAACTTCCCCCAGAGAATTCAGAGGTACCAATCCCCTCAGTACTCTGGGTGGGATAAGACATAATCAGGCCTCCTGATAAGCATCCTGCAAATCTGGGCACACCAGGTGTTCACTTCACTCTCACTTTCTCCTGTGGGAGAAATTATAGATTGAGGGGGCCTCTCTCAGTAGCAAGCTGTGTTGCCTTGGTTGACAGCTGTTGTGGGTAAAATGAAACTGTTCTTCTTATCATCTTCAATTTGAAGGGGCTTCTCTTGAGACTGATCTCTAATGCCTCAGGGGAAGAGCGTTTTAGGTAAAATGAAACTACTTTTTTTTACCCTCTTCAACATATCCACTCTTAGATATTTTGCTCACCAGGGTGCTGTAACCTCTCACCTGAACTCTGGGGCTTCCACAAGGTTATTCTCATCTGTGAGTGGTTGGAAAATTGGCATTTCTGTAGAATAGAAATGAGAACTGAAACCTGCTATTCCACCATACTGCTAACATAACTGGAGTAACATGTTGGAACTTGGGTACTCTCAACACATAATTGTACGTCCAGTGAAAATGACCTTAGAAATAAAGATGAGAAAAGATATTCTCACATGAAAGGAGTCTAAGAGAATTTTTTTTATCAGCAGTTTTTCTCTAAAAGAGAGATGTTAAAGAAAGTTCTTCATATGAGAGGGCAATGATATTGGGGGACACTTGGCACATCAAAAATAAAGATTAACAGGAACAGTAAGTATCTGAGTAAATGTATTAGTCTAATCCCCTGTTAAGTTCTAAGAAATAGGTATGACAGGTTAAAGCAAAGTATGTACAGTAATCCTCCCTTATTACCAAGGGATATGTTCTAAGACCTGCAGTAGATGCATAAAACCACAGATAATACTGAACTCTCTATATATGCTATGTATTTTCAACCTGATAATCAACACAGCTATCGAGTGACTAATGAACAGGTAGCATATACATCATAGATATGTTATAAAAAGGGGCAATTTATATCCTTGCTGAAATAGAGCAGGATGACACAAGGTTTCATCACGCTACTCAGAACGACACACAATTTAAAACTTGTGTACTATTTCCTTCTGGAATTTTCCACTTAATATTTTCAGACTATAGTTGACCACAGGTCATTGAAACTGTAAAAAGCAAAACTGCGTATAAAAGGAGACTACTGTTACATTGATGAATTTTCAGTGTATGTACAGGTAATACATATGACAAATACAACAGAAAGGGATAATTGTAAAGGGGCTTATTTTATGATAAACTGTCTACATTCCACTTGAAGTGGTAAAATATTTATTAAGTTGACTCTACAAAGTCTTTATATTTTAAACTCTAGAGCAACCATTAATAAAATCATAGACATAGTAAAAAATTTAATAGGTAAAATATTAAAAATATTCAAATAATCTTCCCCAAAAAACAGGAAAGGCAAAAAGAAAGAATAAAAATTATGGGAGCAATCAGAAAATGCATGCTGTAGGAATGAACTTCAGTTCTATTTTAACGACTTTAGTATTCCAAAGGAGTTTAGCATCATTGAAAATCTAAAGGATAAAACTAAGTACATTGGGACCACTGCTTCTTAGTTTCCTTTTAGTCAACATGATGCATTTCACAGCTTTTTAAAACTGCTAATTTAGACGTCAAAAATTGGGTCAGAATTCTTACTGCATCAATTTTATCACAAGATTTAAATTGGCTTCATTCAAATTTCTGCCATTACATTGCAATAGTAAGAGCAAGTTTTTAGGTTTTCACTTTTACTGTTTAATATTTATTTACAGCCTTGGGTTTGTGTAGACTTACTAGAGGCTTACTGAGAAGTAAATGCCATTACGTATAACTAAAATGGGCTGTTATCCAGGTAAACCTAGAATGGAATAACAGAGAAGAAATTTTCAAAATGATCTCATTTTTTCCAATCCCTCTGCAGAACCTTCCACACAAACACTCACAATTTATTTTGTAGTGAGAAGAAAACAGAAGCTAAGATAAAGGGGGTATTAGCCAAATATTCAAGGCTAGGAAGTGACAGGACCCAAAAGAGATGAAGATTGCCACCACTAGCAAAAGTGTGCGCACACACAGGTGCCTCTACCCCATTCTCACTGGCACATGCATGCCTCATCATACTTCTGGCACACATGCACACACAGACAATGCTGCCACACCACAACTGGCATACACAGCATGCAAGCTGAAACCCTGTTGCCACTGTCTTGATGAAGCACTTTTGCAGACACCCCCATTGGAGTGTCATTGCAAGTAAACCAGGAAAATATTTGACCTTCTGACACAGCTGGTGCTTAACTTCAGGAAGCCAGAGAAAAAAGCCATGGGCCTGGTCCCAGCCCCTCAGAGGTAGAGCACGCAGACCAGCAATACTGAGCTGAGCCATGGTGTCCTGCAATCATCCAGAAATCAAGCCAGTTGTATGTACCCAACTTACACCACAGTCAAACCCTCAAGGGCATCAAATATTATAAAAGGAAAAAAATAACTATTCAAAGAACAGCAACTTCAAAGATTAAAGGAACATCAACCCCAAATAGAAAGAACAAGCACAAGAACTCTGGCAACTCAAAAAGTCAGAGTATCTTCTTACCTACAAACGACTGCACCAACTCCAAACAATAGTTCTTAACAAGGCTGAAATGGCTGAAATGAAAGAAAGAACTCAGAATATGGAAAACAACAAAAACCACAGAGATTCACAAAACAAGTTGAAACCCAATCTAAGGAATATATATATATATATATATATATATATATATATATATATATATAAAAAACACAACAAGAGATAAAAATATCCATTTTTAGAAAGGATCAAACTTATCATACAGAACTGGAAAATCATTACAAAAATTTTATAGTACAATAAGAAATATTCATGGCAGAACAGAGCAAGCTGAAAGAATCTCAGAGTTAAAAAGCAATTATTTGGATCAACTCAGTTAAAGAAAAATAAAGAAAAAAAATTAAAAAATGAGCAAAGCCTCCAAAAATATAGAATTATTTAAAGAGACCAAACCTATGACACATTGGCATCCCTGAAAGAGAGGGAGAAAAAACATGCAACTTGGAAAATATATGTGAGGATATTATCCGTTAAAATGTTCCAAAACTTGCTAGAGAGGCCAACATTCAAATTCAAGAAAGTCAGAGAAGCCTTGTGAGACACCATACAAGAGAACCATCCCCAACACACATAGTCATCAGATTCTCCAAGGTCAATGTGAAAGAAAATATACTAGGGACAACTACAGAGAAAAGGCAGGTCAACTACAAAGGGAACCCTGTCAGGTTAAGAGTGCATCTCTCAACAGAAAGACTTTAAGCCAGAAGAAATTGGGAGAAGACTATTTTCGGTATTCTTAAAGCAAAGAAATACCAAACAAGAATTTTATATCCATCCAAACTAAGCTTCATCAGCAAAGAAGAAATAAAATCCTTTTTAGACAAGCAAACGCTAAGGGAATTCATTACCACCAGACATGCCTCACAAGAAGTCCTTAAGGGAGTGCTAAACATAACCACACAATAATAATAGATGACATCAAAATCTCAATGACAATATTAGGCACGTAATTGAAGCAGAAAACCATTAGGGATCTGAGCTCAAAATTCAACTAAATGGAAGAAATAGACACCTACAGAGCAAGCCACTCAACAACAACATAATATACATTCCCATCTGCACAGGGTCCATATTCTAAAATTGATCAAATCCTTGGCCAGAAGAAAATCTCAACAAATTTACACAGCCAAAATTATACCAACCACACTCTCAGACAACAGTGCAGTAAAAATAAAAATTAATACTAAGAACACTGCTAAAAACCAGATAGCTACATGGAATTCAAACAATCTGCTCTAGAGTGACTTTTAGGTAAACAATGAAATTAAGGCAGAAATCAAGAAATTCTTTGAAGGTAATAAAAACAAAAATAAAGCATACCAGAATCTCTGGGACCACTTAAAATAGTGTAAAGAGGAAAGTTTATGGCAATAAATGCACACATAAAAAATTTAGAAAGGTCTCAAATTAACAACCTATCATCACTCCTAGGGAAACTAGAAAAAGAACAGTAAAAGTACACCAAAACTAGTATTAAAAAATAATAAAAATGAGAGCTAAACTAAAGAAAACTGAAACACAAAAAACCATACAAAAGATCAACAAAGCCAAAAAGTGGTTGTTTGAAAGAATAAATATAATTGATAGATTGCTAGCAAGAGTAATAAAATACAGAGATGATTCAAATAAATACAATTATAAGTGACAAAAGAGACATGACTACTGAACCCAAAGAAATACAAAAAGTCTTCTCAGACACTATTACAAGTACCTCTATGCACACAAACTAGAAAAGCGACCAGAAATGGATAAACTGGAAACATGCAACCTTCCATGATTGAGCCAAAACAAATTGAAAGCCTGAACAGACCAATAAATTCTGAAACTAAATCAGTAATAAAACAAAATGACCAACCAGAAAAGGCTCTAGACCAGAAAGATTCACAACCAAATTTTACCAGGCATTTAAAGAAGAGTTGGTGCAAATCCTACTAAAATTGTTCAGAAAAATTGAGAAGGGACCACTACCTAACTAATTCTATGAGGCCAGCATCATTCTAATACCAAAACTAGGCAGAGTCACAGCAACAAGAGAAAACTTCAAATCAGTATTTCTGATGAACATAGATGTGAAAATCCTCAGCAAAATACTAGCAAACTGAATCCAGAAACACAACAAAAAGGTAATCCACCATGGGCAAGTTGGCTTTACTCCTGGGACTCAAGGTTTGGTTAATGTACAAAAATAAATGTGACTCATCACATAAAGGGAACTAAAAGCGAAAAGCCCCATGATCAGCCCAATTGATGCAGAAAAGGCTTTAATACAATTTAATCTTCTTTCATGTTAAAAATCCTCTTTAAACTATGCATTAAAGGAACATATGTCAAAATAAGAACCTTCTCTAACAAACACATAGCCAACAATACACTGAACAGGCAACAGCTGGAAGCATTTCCCTTGAGAACCAGAATAAGACAAGGATGCCATTTCTCACCACTCCAATTCAACATGGTACTGGAAGTCCTAGCCAGAAAAATCAGGAAAGGGAAAAAAATAAAAGGCATATAAACAGAAAGAGAGAAAGTCAAACTATTTCTGTTTGTAGATGATATTATTTTATACCTTGAAAACCCCATAGTCTCGGCTCAAAACCTCCTAGACCTGACAAACATCTTTGGCAGAGTTTCAGGATACAAAATCAATGTACAAAAATCTGTTGCATTTCTGTACACCACAATGTACAAGCCAATCGTCTAATCAAAACACAGCCCCATTCACAATAGCCACAAAAAAAAAACCCAGGAGTACAGCTAATCAGGGAGGTGAAAAATCTCTACAATGAGAATTATAGAACACTGATGAAATAAAAAGAAGATCACACAAAAACTCCATACTAACTGACAGGAAAAATCTATATTGTTAAAATGGCCATTCTGTCAAACACAATTGACAGTTTCAGTGCTATTCCTATCAAACTACAAAAGACATTTTTCAAAGAATTAGAAAAAACTATTCCAAAATCCATATTGAACCAAAAAAAAAAAGTGCCCAAATAGTCAATGGAGTTGGAGATCATTATTTTCAGTGAACACAGGAAGAGAAATCCAAATACTGAATTTTCTCACTTACAAGAAGGAGGTAAATATTGAGTATACATAGATACAAAAAGGGGAGTAATAGACCTAAAACCATAAAAACCCTAGAAGAAAACCTAGGCAATACCATTCAGGACATAGGCATGGGCAAGGACTTCATGTCTAAAACACCAAAAGCAATGGCAACAAAAGCCAAAATTGACAAATGGGATCTAATTAAACTAAAGAGCTTCTGCACAGCAAAAGAAACTACCATCAGAGTGAACAGGCAACCTACAGAATGGGAGAAAATTTTTGCAATCTACTCATATGACAAAGGGCTAATATCCAGAATCTACAAAAAACTCAAACAAATTTACAAGAAAAAAACAAAGAACCCCATCAAAAAGTGGGCGAAGGACATGAACAGACACTTCTCAAAAGAAGACATTTATGCAGCCAAAAAACACATGAAAAAATGCTCATCATCACTGGCCATCAGAGAAATGCAAATCAAAACCACAATGAGATACCATCTCACACCAGTTAGAATGGCGATCATTAAAAAGTCAGGAAACAACAGGTGCTGGAGAGGATGTGGAGAAATAGGAACACTTTTACACTGTTGGTGGGACTGTAAACTAGTTCAACCATTGTGGAAGTCAGTGTGGCAATTCCTCAGGGATCTAGAACTAGAAATACCATTTGACCCAGCCATCCCATTACTGGGTATATACCCAAAGGATTATAAATCATGCTGCTATAAAGACACATGCACATGTATGTTTATAGCGGCACTATTCACAATAGCAAAGACTTGGAAACAACCTAAATGTCCAACAACGATAGACTGGATTAAGAAAATGTGGCACATATACACCATGGAATACTATGCAGCCATAAAAAATGATGAGTTCATGTCCTTTGTAGGGACATGGATGAAACTGGAAACCATCATTCTCAGCAAACTATCGCAAGGACAAAAAACCAAACACCACATGTTCTCACTCATAGGTGGGAATTGAACAATGAGAACGCATGGACACAGGAAGGGGAACATCACACACCGGGGACTGTTGTGGGGTGGGGGGAGGCGGGAGGGATAGCATTAGGAGATATACCTAATGCTAAATGACTAGTTAGTGGGTGCAGCACACCAACATGGCACATGTATACATATGTAAAAAACCTGCACTTTGTGCACATGTACCCTAAAACTTTAAAGTATAATAATAATAAAATAAAAAAGAAAATGGGGCCTATTTCCTATTTTTGAAATATGCCAGAATATTCTTTCCTTCTTAACAAGGACTGCACTCAGGAGAAACTGTTTTACCTGAACTTAAGCTGCTTCTGTTTCATCAGAGTCTAACCTAACTGAGAGGAAAGCCTTTAAATGTCTCATTACTAGACTAGACCCAGTTGAGGAAACAATCTTTGAGCTTAATTATATAGCAAAAGAAACTTCCTAAATTTAAAAGAAAAGAAAAGAAAGAAAATCAGAACAGAACATCCACAAATGCTGGGGCAACTGCAAAATGTGTAACATTGATTGTGCAATGTAAAGGCCAGAAGCAGAAGACAGAAAAAACAGAACAAATATTGGAAGAAATAATGACTGATAACTTCTCCAAATTAATGTAATACGTCAAACCATAGATCCAGGAAGCTAAGAAAAAATCAAACAGAATAAGTTGAAAACAACAGCAGCAAACTATGCACCTAAACATATCATATTCAAACTGCATAAAATAAAATAAATGATAAAGGAAAAAAATCCTTAAAGAAGCCAGAGGAAAAAAATTATCTTACCTATAGAGGAATAAGGATAAGTAAGAAATCTGACTTCTCAGAAACCATGCAAGCAAAAAGAGAAGATGGAGTGCTGTATTTAAAGTACTGAAATAAAATATATATTTTTATTTTATAAATATATAAATATATATTTTATTATATATAATAAACATATGTTTTTATTATATATAATATATTATTATATATAATATATTTATTTATATAATAAAATATATTTATTATATATAATATATATTTTACTATATATAGGATATATATAGTAAAATATATAGAATAAAAAATAATTTTATATTTAACTTATTCATTCTCTGATGATCTTTTTTTTTTATGTAGACTTAACTTTCTCACCTATATAATTATCCTGCTCCCTAAATAACTTATTTAACAGTTTCTTGCGAGGCATGTCTACTGGCAGGAAGTTTCTATTTGTGTTTGTCTGAGAAAGTCTTTATTTCTCCTTCATTTTTGAAAGATATCACCAGGTACAGAATTCTAGATAAGTGTATATATATACACACACATATATATAATTATATATAATATATGATATAAATATATATCTTTATTATATATAATAACATATATAAATACACTTATCTAGAATAATAGATATTAAAAAATATATTCTATATTATATAGAATATATACTAAAATGTATATTATATACTATAGAATATCTATTATATAACAAAATATACATTCTATGTAATATCTATTATATAATAAAATATACATTCTATATAATATCTATTATGTATAATAAAATATATAGATAAAAGCTACCTGACTTCAAACTATCTTGCCCATTTTTAAATTTTTTTTTTGTATTGTAGAGTTGTAAGCATTTTTTTGTACATTTTGGTAACAGTGCTTTATCTAACATGTATCTTTCAACAAATATTTTCTCTGCATTCTGTAGATTATCTTCTCATCTCCTTTATAGTGTCTTTTGCAAAGCAGAAATTTGTAATTTTTAATGAAGTCTGGCTTATACATTTTTTTCCTTCATGGATTGTGACTTTGGTTTTGTATCTAGAAAGTTATTATTATACCTCTGTTCGTCTAGATTTTCTGCTATGTTACCCTCTAGGAGTTATATAGTTTGCATTATATATTTAGGTCCGTGATGCATTTTCAGTTAATTTTTGTGAAAAGTATGAGGTCTGTGTCTAGATTATTATTTTTTGTTTGCATGTAGATATCCAGATGTTCCAGCACTATTTGTTAAAACGATTATATTTGCTCTATTATATTGTTTTTTCATTTGTGTTGGTGGTCAACTGACTGTATTCACGTATGTCCTTTTCCAGGCTCTCTATTATGTTCCATTGGTCTATTTGTCTAGTCATTTGTGAATATCACTGTCTTGATTATTATAACTTTATAGGAAGTTTTGAAGTTAGGTAGTGTCAGTAGTCATATTTGTTCCTTTTTTAATATCAAGTTGGGTATTCTGGGTCTTTTGCCTTTCCATATAAACCTTAGAGTCAGTTTTTTCATAACCAAAAAATAATTTTCTGGGATTTTGATATGGAGTCGCCTTATGTCTCCTTCAAACTTGGCCTGCTGAGTAGCTGCAATTATAGGTGGATGCCATCAGGCCTTGCCATTGTTGAAATTTTGAATGGGATGGCATTGAATCTAGAGATAAATTTAGGAATAATGGACATCTTTAAGATATTGAGTCTTTCTGTTTATGAACACGTACTATCTCATTCATTTAGCTCTTCCTTTATATCTATGAGATATAAGGATAACGTAACATGTAAAGATCCTACCATTGACTTTCTTCACAGAATTAGGAAAAACTACTTTAAATATCATATGGAACCAAAAAAGAGTCTGTAGAGCCAAGACAATCCTAAGCAAAAAGAACACAGCTGGAGGCATCATGCTACCTGACTTCAAACTATACTACAAGGCTACAGTAACAAAAACAGCATGGTACTTGTACCAAAACAGATATATAGACCAATGGAACAAAACAGAGGCCTCAGAAATAACACCACATATTTAAAACCATCTGATCTTTGACAAACCTGACAAAAAGAAGCAATGGGGAAAAGATTCCCTATTTAATAAATGGTGTTGGGAAAACTAGCTAGCCATATGCAGAAAATTGAAACCGGACCCCTTCATTACACCTTACACAAAAATCAACTCAAGATGGATCAAAGACTTAAACGTAAGACCTAGGACCATAAAAATCCCAGTAGAAAACCTGGTCAATACCATTCAGGATGTAGGTATGGGCAAATACTTCATGTCGAAAACACCAAAAGCAATGGCAACAAAAGCCAAAATTGACAAATGGGATCTAATTAAACTAAAGACCTTCTGCACAGCAAAAGAAACTATCATCAGAGCGAATAGGGAATCTACAGAATGGGAGAAAATTTTTGCAATCTCTCCATCTGACAAAGGGCTAATATCCAGAATCTACAAAGAACTTACACAAATTTACAAGAAAAAAACAACCCCATCAAAAAGTGGGCAAAGGATATGAACAGACACTTCTCAAAAGAAGACATTTATGCAGCCAGCAGACATATAAAAAAATGTTCATCATTGCTGGTCATTAGAGAAATGCAAATCAAAACCACAATGAGATACCGTCTCACATCTGTTAGATGGGATTACTGGGTCAAATGGTATTCTAGTTCTAGATCCTTGAGGAATCACCACATTGTCTTCCACAATGGTTGAACTAATTTACACTCCCACCAACAGTGTAAAAACATTCCTATTTCTCCACATCCTCATCAGCATCTGTTGTTTCCTGACTTTTTAATGATTGCCATTCTAACTGGCGTGAGATGGTAAGACTTGTAAATTAGGCAAAACTATAAAGATAGTAAAATGATCAGTGTTTGTAAGAGGTTGGAGGAAGGATGAGATTAATTGGCATATCACATTAAGAATTCCAAGGAAGTAAAACTCTACTGTATAATTCTACAATATCAGATACAATTCTAATTCATATATTTGATATGCATACATTTGGCAAAACCAACAGAATGGACAACACTATTATGGACTGAATTGTATTAGCTGCAAAGTTCAATATTTTAAGCCCTAGTCTCTATTATACTGTATTTAGAGATAGTTTATTTAATAAGGTAATTAAAGTTAAATGAGGTCTTAAGAGTGAGGCTTAAATATGATAGGATTGATGTCTTTATAATAAGAGAAGGAGGCACCATATTTATATCTTTGTTTCTCTCTCTCTTTCTCCATGCAGTCACAGAGAAAAAAGCCATGTGAGGACACAGTGAGAAGCTGCTATCTGCAAGCTGAGAAGAGAAACATCACTAGAAACCATCCCTGCTGGCACTTGATCTTGACTTTCAGCTTTCAGAACTTTGAGAAAATAAATGTGTGTCGCTTAAGCCAGTTCATCTTTAGTTATTTTGTTATGTCAGCCTGAGCAGAATTAGACAAATACTAATAGTAAACTATAAGGTAAACTGTAGGCTTTGGGTAATGACGTGTCAATAGATTTATCAATTGTAACAAATGTATCACTGTGATGTGGGACATTGATAGAGCAGGATGTTGTGCATGTGTGGGCTGTGTGGGAGCAAATCATATATGGGAATTCTCTTAACATTCTATTGAATTTTTCTAAGAACTTACAACTGATCTAAAAATAAAGTCTGTTTTTTTAAAAAATAATTGATTTTCCGTCATATTAACAGAATAAAGAAAAAAATCACATAGTCATGTCAATTTCTGCAGAAAAATCAATTGATAAAATTCAACTTTTATTTATAATAAAACTTCTTAGCACCCTACAAATAGAAAAAAACTTCCTTCATCTTAAATAGAACCTATACACAACAAGTGGACAAGCAAGCAAACATAAAGCTAGAATTATAGAAGGCACAGAAATCCAGTCTCACCTCTTCTATCCAACATAGTATTGGAAGTTCTTGCCTTGCCAGTGTAATTAGGCAAACTTAAAAAAAAATTAACACAGAATGGAAGGAAATAAACTATCTCTATTCAGAGACAACATGATTATCTGCATATAAATACCAAGGAATGTACTGTAGAGCTCATAGGACTATTAAAACAACTTTAGCAAGTTTGACAGATCCAAAGTCAACCACATAAAATCAGTCATATTTCCATATAGAGTAATAAAAACTAGAAAGTGCATTAAAAATTATGTAATCCCATTTATAATAGCACCCCACAAATAAAATATTTAGGTAGAAATCTAATAAAATATTTGCATGACCTGTATTTTGAAGATTGAAAAATGCTGATAAAATATATTTTAAAAACTCTAAAGAGGCATATCAGGTTCATTAAATAATAAAATAAATCAATATACTTAAGGTTTTATTTTTTCCAAATTGAGGTATAGACTAAACCCAATTTCACTGAAAATTCTAGCATATATTTTATAGGTTAGATGAATTCTTTTTAAAATTTATATAGAAAGGCAAGGGATTAAAAAAGCATAATAATAATTAAAAAATAATTTTAGATGACTCATACTACCCAATTTTGACGCTTATGATAAAGCTACAATAATAAATACAGTGCAGCATTAGTGAAATAATAAACTCATTGATAAATAGAACCAACTGGAGTTCAGAATTGGATGTAAACAAATATGACCAATTAATTACTGACAAAGGCACAAAAGAAATTCAGTAAGTTGAGGATCTTCTTTTTCAATAGATTATATTGGAATAATTAATTATGTGCAATAAAATACCTCAACTGAAATTTCACTCCTGGGTTTCATAGAATAGTTCTCAAATATAACAACTAATGCAAAATACATAAAAAAATAAATTTACATTCATTAACAATAATAGTATTCCCTCTCAGGAAAACATAATTTAAAAAATGAGAAGACAAGCCTCAGACTGGAAAAATAAATTGCTAAGCATATATCTAATAAAGCAATTGTATCCAGGTTATATTGATAACACAATAATAAGAAAATAATCCAGTTTTTAAATAAGGAATGGATTTTAAAAGATATTTCATCAAAGAAGATACATAGATGGCATAAAAGCACATAAAAATGATTAATATTGCTAATCATTAGAACATGCAAAGAAACCATTTTAAGTTATCCCTACACACATTAAAATGTTTAAAATTTAAACATAAAACTAACAATACTAAGTGTTGGTAAGGTTTAGGAGCAATTGAAACTTTTATATATTTCTGATTGAAATGCAAAAGAACACAGCCACTTTGCAAATGTAATTTAGATACTTCTTATAAATAAAGTTAAACATGTATTTACTTTGTGACACAGCAATTCCTTATGCAGGTATTAGCCTAGAAAAATAAAAACTTATTTGTACACAAACCTGCATATGAATATTTATAACAGCTTGGCTATAATTTCCAAAAACTAGAAACTACTGTCTTTCAAAGGGTGAATAAATAAAAAACTGGTACATTTATATAGAGGAATATTACTCAGCAGTAAAGAGGGATGGATTATTGATACATGCAATAGCATAAATGGTTCTCAGAAGAATTATGCTGAGTAAAAGAAGTCAATCTCAAAATGATACTTATTAATCACTTTCATTTATATGACTTCAGGGAAAACACAAAACTAAAGTGATAGAAAACAAACTGATCAGTGGTAGCCTGGAAATAAATACAGAGGACGGGTTTTAATACAAAGGAGCAGCATAAAGACAATTTTTGAGATAATGAAGCTGTTTTTTCTCTTGATTGTGGTGAGGGTTGCATGAATCTATAAATGTGATAAAAATGTATAGGACTCAGCACACAAAAACATCAGTTTCAGTCTGTGCAAAAGTTGTAAATAATAATAATAAATATTACTGGACTGGGGACAACATTTAGAGACTTGTTCAAGTCTGCACTCTTCTAAATGGAATGGAATGCTTTTCAGCCTAAATCTAGAAGATTCCAATGTATACTACAGCCTTCTCTGGCACAGAGGAACTCTATGGTTTGGCCAAGATAACTTAATGAAATTTAATGCTAGAATTTATGGCTTCTTAGTTCTAGAATTTATGGATCCTTATTTATAGCACGAATAATCTTCAATATGTTATACTGCCTGTTATAACATTTTAGAGGAATGATTTCATTATAATCAGGCCTATCCTTGATCAATACTCAGAATTTCCTGAAAAATGATTGCATAGATATCCAACACTCAGATAACTCAAAGTTTAAGTGCAGTGACATTTCAAAGTCTTTTTCTGGATTAGGTGACATCAGCAGTGTGGCAGACCAAGAGGTTACCAGCCTTCTTTCCTCAAAAGACACACAAAGAACACAGATCAGAATACTTCTCTAAAACATCTAATGACCATTTGAGAAGCTACAGCGATCAAGCCACTGCAAAATCAAGAAGAGATTCCTATGAAACAAAGGGGAAAATGAAAGGCATTTGAAGTGCAAGGCCATATGTCTCCCGACAGAGCATAGTGTGAAACAATGAGAAGGTAATGTCCTACATGAGTACCCTTCCTTCAGTATAGAAATGTATCTGATGTCAAGAATTAACTGGCGGCTTATCCAAGGGAATAATTTCTGCTTTTCCTCACTCAAAGCACTGGAAGGACTAGTGTCAGAGTTTGAAGCTACTGAAAGCAGAGGTGAGTATGCAGTACATTTTGAGCTTCAGTTATACAGATGACAACAGGTGGAATAAGGTATGGGAATGGTTTGGAAATCCTAGAACCTTCGGCTGCGCTGATTGGTGAGGGGCTTCTCTAAATAAAGACAGTACACAGAAACTATGAGAGGTGGTTGCTTTCCAACTGCCAAAATAATCATTAAAGGTTACAAAACTTACAAGGAAACAAGAAAATATGGCTTAATCTAAAGGGAAAGATAAAATTCCAGAAGCTGACCTTAAATAAATGCAGATCTATGAGATACCTGAGAAATAATTTCAAATGTGTCAAATATGTTAAATGAGCTAAAAACAAAGATGGATAACTAAATGAAATCAGTAGAGCTATGCATAAAAATAAAAATATCAACAAGGATAAAACAGAAAAATCATCAAAGATTCTGGGGCTGAAAAATATTAAAATTTAAGTATAAAAAAATTACTGAAAGAGTTCAATACAGAATTGGCAAGACAAAAAAAAAAGAATAAGTGAACTTGAAGACAGGTCATTTGAAATCATTGAGTCAAACGAGCAAAAATTAAAAAAAAAAAAAAGAAAGGAGGAAAGCAAAGAGCCTAGGGGAATTACGGGAAACTATCAAGCACACCAATATACACAATATGAATTCCCAAAGGAGAAACAGATAAATAGAAGGACAGCATATTTGAATAAATTACAACTGAAAACTTCCCAATCTGCAGAATTAAATAGACATGCAAATTCAAAACTCACAAATAACTTAAACTGGAAAAAAATCCAAAGAGAACTACAAGACAAATTATAATCAAACTGTAAAGTCAAAGACAAAGAGAGAATCTTCAAAGAAGCAAGGAAAAAGTTATTTGTCATGTACAGCAGAGCTTCCCTTTCACGATAAAGCACCTTTTATAGTATAAACACTCAACCAAGTAGGAATGGAAGAAAACCATCTTAACATAATAAAGGCCATTGATAAAAAGCCCACAGCTAACGTCACACTTCATAGTGAAAGACTAAAAGCTTTTGCTTTAAGAGCAGGAACAAAACAAGGTTGCTAACTATTGCTTCTTCTATACAACATAATATAGGAGACCCTAGACAGAATAAATACGAAAAAAAATGGGGGAAAAAGCATCCAAATAGAAAGGAAGAGGTAATTTTTTTTTCTATTTGTAGATGACTTGATAGTATATGTAGAAAAGTCTAAAGATTCAACACCACCACCAACGTAAAAATTGTTAGAACTAATAAATGCATTCAACAAAATTGCAGGATACAAAATGAGCACTCAAAAATCAGTTACGTTTCTATACATTAACAATGAACAATCTGAAAAGGAAGCAAAAGCAATTTATTTATAATAGCATCAAAAAGAATAAAATTATTAAAAATAAACTTAACTGAAGAAGTGAATGATTTGTACTATGAAAATAAGGAGCATTTCTGAAACAAATTTTAGAAGATGAAAACAAATGAAAAAAAATCTCATCTTCATAGATTGGCAGTCTTAATATTAACATTTAACATTACCCAAAGTGATCTACAGATTCAGTGCAATCCCTATCAAAATTCCAAAAGGATTTCTTGCAGAGATACAAAAATACATTCTCAATTCTGTGTGGGATATCAATGAATCCCAAATAGCCGAAGCATTTTTTAAAGAACAAAGTTTCAAACACTCACACTTTCTGATTCTAATAATTTATACAAAGATGCAATAATGAAAAAAAGTGAGGTGCTGTCACAAAAACAAACAAATTGACAAATGGGGTGCAATAGAGAGCACAGAAACAAACCCTTGTATATATGGTCAAATGATCTTTGACAAGGATGCCAAGATAACTTAAAGGAGAGAGAACACTCGAACACTCTCTTCAACAAATATTGTTAAAACAGTATATTGTTATGCAAAAATTATAGTTGTCTTTATTATACACCTTAAACATAGACTAACTAAACTAAAACAAAAGTTTTAAAGACCTAAATAAAAGATTTAAAGCTATAAAATTTTTAGAAGAAAACACAGGGGAGAAGCTTCATGACATTGAATTTGACAATTATTTATTGCATAACAACACCTACAGGCCAATAGGACAGGCAACAAAATCAAAAGGAGTCAAGTTAGGACTACATCAAACTTAACTTTGTTCATCAAACTATACAATAAACAGTGAAAAGGCAACTTACTAATTGGGAGATAATATTTGAAAATCATATATCAAATTAGAAATTAGTTTGCAGAATAGATAAAAATCTCTTGCAACTCAACAACAAAATATAAATAACACAATTTAAAAATGAGCTGAGGACTGGTGAAAATATTTCTCAAAAAGTTATATACAACTGACCAACACATATATGAAAATATGCTCTACATCACTAATAACCAGATAAATGCAAATAAAAACCTCACTGGTTTATTACTACATACCCATTAAGATTTCTACCACAAAAAATAGAAACAGAAGAAAATAGAAAGCATTGATATCTGAACCCTTGTTCATTAATAAGGGAAGGATAAAATTGTGCAACCACAATGGAAAACAGTATGGAGATGCCTCAAAAAATTTTTAAAAACTACGATTAGATCAGCAATACCATTTTTGGGTATATTTCTAAAATAATTGAAAGCAATCTTTTGAAGAGATTTTTGCACATTTATGTCCTTGGTAGCACTAATGACAACGATTTTTTAAGGGAAATTTTAGTCCTAGGCTCATCTGTACACTTCCTTATAAAATTCAGTTTTAGTAAATAACCCTGTTAAGTCAGTTTAGCAACACCTTCACCCTCATTGGTAACTAAACACCTTCAATATATGATCAGGTTCCTCACCCTCCAGCATTCTTCAGGAGATGTCTGATTACCCTGGCTGGTCATCAGCAAAAATCCTGTTATAAAAGTTTAGCTAGAATTCCAATTATCCCTGATGTTTTCTCTTAGTAATTTTTTATCTATTGACCCCAATCTTGCTTCTTGGATATAAATTCCCACTTTCCCCATGTTATATTAGGTGTCAAACCTAACTGCTTTCTCCCACTGCAAAATCTTATTGCAGTGTTCTCTATTTATTTTGATGATCTTGAATAGGGTCTGCCTCACCATGTTTTAACAAGCGTAATTGAATTTTTTTTATTCTAAGTGTTCACATGTGAAACCTTTGTCATTAGTCCTGACTGACTGATTGGGGATCTATTGGTGATTCAGACTATTGCTCTGAATAAATGTCCATTGGACATGGTAATTACAGATTTTTTAATCTTAAGAATTCTAATGTACTCTCTGAAGCTGGGTTAGAGTGCCAGGTTTCTTTGAACGGTACTTCCTGGGCTAGTAGTTCTTCTTCCTGGGTCTTTTTCTTGAGTCAGAATTATTCCCTGACTCCTTGGGCTGGAGATCTCTTCTTTCTAGCCATCCTTGAGACCTCTGTTTTCTCCCTGCTAGACCCTGCTGCTCCTATGTGAACTTCTCTGTCACATGAAACCTCTCTTTTGAACCCCTGTTGACTAAATTATCCACCAGTTCCGTCTACCTCCCTCTTGTTGGCATAATTTTGCACTCCAGTTTTCAAGAATACTTGGAAATGTCTTGTTTCAAACCCCTTCCTCCTCCATCTCTCTGGGCACCCCTGCCAAACATTTTTTTTTTTTTTTTGCTTTCTAGATCCTGTTCAGTCACTTGAACTTCAGAACCATTCTTTCAAGGGACTCAAGATCCCATAAAAACAACCACCTGAGACCAAAAAGAAAATAAGAAACTGTTTGAAAACAAAAATATGTTTTGTCCACTCAGAGGAGTTTTGGATGAGTATGAGAAGTATGAGTTTTAAATGAGTATGAAAGTATGAGATACTTTCCTACCTCTGGATTATATTACCAAATTAATTTATAAAATCCCTTTAAGGAGTTCTTTTTAGATTGGCTAGAAAACAAATGAGCATAAAAGGAATTATATTTAGATTTGCTTGGAAATAAATAAGCACTTACATACATTAAGTATGCCTAAAACTCTCAAAAGTACAAAAGCCCAATTGCTTTTTAAGTTTATGTGATCTGAATAATTTTTGGTAAATAAAGCTAGCTTTTAAATTGTCAGTAAATAAAAGCAAAAAAATGTCTTCAGAATTATCAGCATTAAGTATACTGTAGACACATTTTTATTCTATCTGGATTTACTAGTCAAACAAATTATCTCTACTACTTTAAGATTATAAAAGTATGAGTTTAGTCAAAGAACAAATGTGCAAGTGAAACTGCCTTGTCCTTTGCTATATGATTATTAAACACAGCAGCAAAACAAAACAAAAAAAGCCTATGTATAATTTTTTTTTAGAATTCTTGCTTTCATGATGACTGCCTAACATGCACAGGCTGTAAAAATTGTAAAGAGGAAAATGATTTGAGATGACGGCTAGCATTGCTAAATGGCTCATGATATTTTCATGAGAAATTCAACATAACAAGTGAATTAAAAAGTGTAAATGGGATAAAAATTTATAAATAAACTTTTCAACAACAATTTTTCCTTGTAAAATATATATCCAATTAAAAATAGTTTCCAAAATCTTTTTGGTAACTCACAACCTTAAAGTTATTGTAAATTAAGTAAAGTAAGAGGTATTTATTACATGTATGGGTCATTTCTAAGAAAAATAAAATACTAAAATATTAATTGTTGAACATACATTTAAGTTTATCTACTTTTGCTTTCTTAAATTTTACAGAAAAAGCTAAATATATTTTGGTCTGTTAATAAACATCAGAAATTATGCCATATGTTTCTAAAAATTATAAAATAGTATTTATCTACACAATGTTGGTATTTGACAGTTCACAGTTGCTTATAGTTTTCATTAGAAATTACAATTGCTAAGTATTAAAACTTCTAAGTAATATATGAAATTAAAACTACTATAAATTACAAGTGAAACAACTCTCATGATCAAGCATACAAGGAAAATGACAGGTGGTTTTGGTAAGGAATGTTTCAAATTATGATATGTTTTCTGTTAAGGAAAAAAGGAGTAATTAATTCTGTAAAACTAATAAAATGATAATTCTAATAAAGTAGAATGACTGATTGTTCCAAAGTAAGAAAGACAAAATGTAGGAGGCAAAAAGGCTGATGAATATGTTTTAAATGCTATAAATGGCTTACATGAAGGCAATCTTGAAAAATAAATCTTGTGTGTTCAAAGCTGGTTGAGATTGGATAGATTCATTTATAAATTTCATTAAAAAAACTAGCTTTAGTATTAATAGTACACTGATGAAAAATTAGAATTTATCTTTCTCTCTTAAAATATGTTAAAATATTTGATTCACAAAATAATCAAATTTCCTTGTTAATTTCATCATTATTGTAATGAATTTTTATCAGATCTTTAACTATAAAGATTTCAAGCTTTTTATTGACAGTTATTGTTTTACATTGATTCTTCTCTGAAAGTATTTTCAGTCAGCTATGTCCAAAATTTATTATAAAGACTCTGACAAGTACTCTGGAATATATATTTCTGATAAATTTAAGATCATAATATTGAACTGAAAAAAAATTTCAGGACTATAATGAAGAAACTGACAGATTCACGAAACTGGTAACCAAGATGAAGTAGAACAAGAATTAATTACGTAGGCCTGAATAAACTGATGAGGATATTTTTAAATGATATTTTTCTTAGAAGCATTTCTAGTTTTTAATGGTTTTCTTTCTAATTTAAAGAAACCTTTTTTTGTTGTTGTTTTAAGCTCTCTGTAGCTTATAGCAATTTTATAAAGTATACTTCTGTGAACAAAAATGGAAACATTTACTTTTTCTCCTTACCTCATCCCTCCAGAATTCAGAAACTAGTAATTAGTGTTATTATTTTAATAGAAATATAGTTATTTGCATAAGTTTAATAAGAGTCTGTTCTTCCTTTAACAAGACACAATTCAAAATATTGGTCATACTACCAAAGCTTTAATTGGAATGCCATATTTTATACATGACCAGACAACTTTAAGAAATTAAGATTGACTTTACAAAACTAATGAAGCCCCTTGTGGAAAAAAGTGGCCTGGTACATTACATACATGGTTTCCTTACATGATTACCTCAAAAGTGACTAAGAAGTGTCATATCCTTCCAGGCTCAGGAACCTCAGGATAGTTTCAGGACCCTGAGAAAAGATAAATTTACCCAAATCTGTAAGTATTGTAGGAAAAATAGGATTATAAGTTATTGGCTTGGTTTCTTGGACTTTAGAGGCTTTTAGAAGTCCAATATGAGATTTCTTATTAAAAATTTCAGAAAAGTACACTTAAAAAGAGCCTCTGTGATTCATCAGTACCAATGCTTCTTTTATGTAAATAATCAGGCACAGCTTAATTGGACTAGACCAATTTTGCAAGCAAATTTGTCTTATTTGATTGTCTTATAGAAATGGGGTGTGTGTAAAAAAATTATGTTTCAGTGGATAACATATCTATAGCACCTGCTGTTAGGTTCTACCCCTGTCCACTCTTTTTGACGTTTGTTTTTATTTACCTACAAACTGCACCAGACCCTGAGTTCTTCCAGTTTCCCCCAATATCTGGCTACAGCTCTCCATACTAATATTTCCAAATTTTCTCTCACTCTTCTAGTTTGAAGTAAATAAAAATTTACTCTTTTTCTGACACCCTGTAAGCTGGATAACTAGATATAGACTTCAGAGAAATAATATCAGCTTGTTTATGAAGAATCTTCAGGCCTATTGTTGCATGGAGTAATCAGAAAGTTTACCATGATATCTGATATAAACTTCAAACAATGGATATCCATTAGATTCACAGTATCATCTTCACTTTACAAAGTGAAGATGAGCTGAAATCGAAAGGTCTTTGTTTTTAAACTTTTATTTTAGGTTCAGGGATACATGTGCAGGACTGCTATGTAGATAAACTGTGTATCGTTGGGTTTTGGTGTACAGAGTATTTTGACATTCAGGTAATAAACATAGAACCCAATAAGTAGTTTATTGATCCTCGCCCTCCTCCCACTGTTCACCATCAAGTAGGCCCTGGTGTCTGTTGTTCCCTTCTTTCTGTCCATGCCTACTCAATATTTAGCTCCCTCTTACCAGTGAAAATCTGTAGTATTTGGTAATGTGTTCCTACATTAGTTCACTTAGGACAATGGCCTCAAGCAACATCCATGTTGCTTCAAAGACATGATCTTTTTCCTTTTTATGGATGTGTAGTATTGTATGATATATATGTACCACATTTTCTTTACCCAGTCTACTCTTGATGGAAATTTTGGATGATTCCATGTCTTTGCTATTGTGAATAGTGCTGCAAAAAGCATACATGTGTATATGTCTTTACGGTATAACAATTTATACTCCATTGGATATAAATATATATGTATATCCACATACAATAATGGCATTGCTGGGTCAAATGGTTATTCTGTTTTAAGTTATTTGAGAAATCACCACATTGCTTTCCACAATGGCTGAACCAATTTAAATGCTTAACAGCAGTGTACAAGCATTATATTTTCTCTGCAACTTCACCAGCATCTGTTATTTTTTTACTTTTTAATAATAACCATAATGACTGATGTGAGACTCTATCTCATTGTGGTTTTGATTTTCATTTTTCTAATGATGAGTAATGCTGAACATTCTTTCATATGCTTGGTGGTTGCATGTATATCTTCTTTTGAAAAGTGTGTGTTCATGTCCTTTGCCCACTTTGTAATGGGATTGTTGGTTTTACTTGTTAATTTGTTTAAATTCCTTTAAGATTCTGGATATTAGACCTTTGTCAGATGCATAGTTTGCAAATATTTTCTCCAATTCTGTAAGTTGTCTGTTTACTCTGTTGATAGCTTCTTTTGCTGTGCAGAAGCTCTTTAGTTTAATTAGGTCCTATTTGTCAATTTTGTTTCTGTTGTAATTGCTTTTGATGACTTTGTCATGAACTCTGTCACAGCTTATGTCCAGAATAATATTTCCTAGGTTACCCTCCAGGATTTTTATAGTTTCAAGTTTTACATTTAAGTCTTTAATCCATCTTGAGTTGATTTCTGTATAAGGTGTATGAAAGGGGTCTAGTTTCAATCTTCTGCATAAGGCTAACCAGTTATCCCAGCAGCATTTATTGAATATAGTCCTTTCCACATTGCTTGTTTTTACTGACTTTGTCAAAGATCAGATGTTGTAGGTGTGTGAATTTATTCCTGGGCTGTTTTAGTTCATTGATCTATGTGTCTGTTTTAGTACAAGTACCATGCTATTTTGCTTTCTGTAGCCTTGTCGTATAGTGTGAAGCTAGGTAATCTGATGTCTCCAGCTTTTTCATTTCTGCTTAGGACTGCTATGGCTATTTGGGTACTTTTGTGGGATCTATATGAATTTTAGAATAGTTTTTTCTAATTCGGTTGAAAATATTGCTGCAAGTTTGATAGGAATACCATTGAATCTATAAATTGCTTGGGACAGTTTGTCCATTTTAACAATATTGATTGTATCCATAAGCATGGATTTTTTTTTTCTATTTGTTTGTGTCATCTTATCTTTTAGCATTTTTAAAAAATTTTCATTGTAGAGATTATTCACCTCTCTGGTTAGCTATACTCCTAGACATTTAATCGTTTTCATGGCTATTGTAAATGAGTTTGCATTCTTGATTTGGCTCTCAACTTTGACACTATATGTGTATAGAAATGCTACTGATTTTGTGCACTGATTTTGTATCCTGTGTTTATCAGATCTAGGAGCTTTTTCCAGAGACTGTGATATTTTCTACATGCAAAATAATATCATCTGAAAACAGAGATATTTTGACTTACTGTATTCCTATTTGAAAGCCTTTTATTTCTTTTTCTTGCTTGATTTCTCTGGCTAGGATCCAGTACTATGTTGAACAGGAGTGGTGAGAGTGGACATCTTTGTCTTGTTCCAGCTCTCAAGGGGAATGCTTCCAGCTTTTGCCCATTCAGTATGATGTTGGCTGCAGGTTTGTCAGAGATGCCTCTTATTGTTTTGAGATATTTTCCTATAATGCTTAGTTTTTTGAGGGTTAAAAACATGAACAGATATTGAATTTTATGGAAAGCCTTTTCTGTGTCTCTTGAGGTGATCATTTGGTTTCTGTTTTTAGTTCTATTTTTGTGATGAATTTCATTTATTGACTTTTATATGTTGAGACAACCTTACATCCCAGGTATAAATCCTACTTGATCATGGTGGATTAGCTTTTGAGTGTGCTGATAAATTTAGTTTGCTAGTATTTTGTTGAAGATTTTCATATCTATATTCATTAAATATATTGGCCAGAATTTTATATTTATTGTTGTGTCTCTGCCAGGTTTTTATATCAGAATGTTGCTGGCCTCATAGAGTGAGTTAGGAAGGAGTCCCTCCTTCTCAATTTTTGTAATAATTTCACTAGGAATGAGACAAGCTCTTCGTTATACATCTGATATAATTCAGCTTTGAATCCATCTGGTTCCAGGCTTTTTTCTATTTGGCAGCCTTTCTATTACTGACTCAATTTCAGAACTCATTACTGGTTAGCTCAAGGGTTCATACTTTCCTGGTTCAATCTTGGTAGGTTGCACGTTTGGGAATTTATCCATTTATTCTAGATTTTCTAGGTTGAGTGCAAAAAGTGTTCTTAGGAGTCTCTTTGTGTTTTTTTTCTTTTCCTTTCATTTTTGTGGGGTCAGTGTTAATGCCCCTTTGTCATTTGTGATTGTGTTCATCTGGTTTTTCTCTCTTTGTTTCTGTGTTAGTCTAGCTAGCAATCTACATTTCTTATTTATTTATTTATTATACTTTAAGTTCTGGGATACATGTACAGAACGTGCAGGTTTGTTACATAGGTATACATGTGTCATGGTGGTTTGCTGCACCCATCAACCTGTCATCTAGGATTTAAGCCCTGCATGCATTAGGTATTTGTCCTAATGCTTTCTCACCCCTTGCCCCACACCCCCAACAGGCCCTGGTGTGTGATGTTCTTCTTCTTGTGTCCATGTGTTCTTATTGTTCAACTCCCACCTATGAGTGAGAACATGTGGTGTTTGGTTTTCTGTCCCTGTGTTGGTTTGCTGAGAATGGTGGTTTTCAGCTTCAACCATGTCCCTGCAACAGACATGAATGCATCCTTTTTTATGGCTGCATAGTATTACATGGTGCATATGTGCCATATTTTCTTTATCCAGTCTAATATTGATGGGCATTTGGGTTGGTTCCAAGTCTTTGCTATTGTGAATAGTGAGCAGTCTATATTTCTTATTTACTCTTTAAATAACAAACTCCTGGATTATTTTATCTTTTGTGCATTTTTTGCATCTCAATTTCCTTCAATTCAGCTATGATTTTGGTTATTTTTTTGTCATCTACTAGCTTTTGTGTTGGCCTGGTCTTGTTTCTCTAACTCCTAAGTTTGATGTTACGTGATTAATTTAAGATCTTTCTAACTTTTTGATGTGGGTGTTCAATGCTATAAAGTTTCCTCTTAACACCGATTTAACTGTGTCCCAGAGATTTGCAAATATTATATATTTGTTTTCATTCATTTCAAAAAATTTCTTAATTTCCTTCTTAATTTTATTGTTTACCCAAAAGTGATTCAGAATCAGGTTGCTTAACTTGCATTAATTTCCATGTAATGGTTTCCAGTAATGCTCTTTCTATTTTTAATGTGCTATGCTAGTTCATATGATTTTTAAAAATTTGCTGAAGATTGCTTTATGTATAATTGTGTATTTGATTTTAGAGCATGCGCCATGTGCAAATATGAAGAATGTATATTCTATTGTTTTGGGTTGGAGAGTTCTGTATATGTCTATTAGCCCTAGTTGGTAAAATGTCTAGTTCAGGTCCTAAATATATTCGTTAGTTGTCTGCTTCTATTATCTATCTAATACTGTCAGCGGGTTGTTAAATCCTTCTACTATTATTGTGTGGTTATCTAAGTCTCTTCTTCAGTGATGTCTAAAATCTTGCTTTATGAATCTGGATGCTCTTGTTTTGGGTACATAGATATTTAGGATAGTTAGGACTTCTTGTTGAATTGAAACCTTTACCATTAGGTAATGCCCTGTTTTGTCTTTTTTGGTTGTTGTTGATTTAAAGTCTGTTTTGCCTAAAATTAGAATGGCAACTTCAGATTTTTTCTGTTTTGCATTATCTTGGTAGATTTTTCTCCATCCCTTTACTTTAAACCCATGAATGTCATTGAACACAAATTTGATCTCCTGAAGACAGTGTACTATTGAGTTTTGTTTATCCAATGCCATTCTTAACCTTTTAATTGAGGCATTTAGTTCATGTACATTCAAAATTAGTATTGATATGTGCTGATTTGATCCCATGATAGTGTTGTTAGCTGGTTATTATCCAGACTTGATTGTGTGGTTACTTTATAGTGTCAGTGTTCTTTGTACTTACGTGTGTTTTTGTAATGTCCAGTACTGGTCTTTTATTTCCACATTTAACACTCCCTTAAGGACCCCTTGTAAGGCAGGTCTGGTGGAAACAACTTACCTTAGCATTTTCTTGTCTGAAAAGGGTTTATTTCTCCTTCACCTATGATGCTTAGTTTGGCTGGATATAAAATTCTCAGCTGAAAATTCTTCTTTAAGAATGTTTAATATAAGCCCCCAGTCCTTTCTGGCTTGTTGGGGTTTTGCTAAAATGTCCACTGTTAACCTGATGGGGGTTCCCTTTGCATAACGGGTGGCCTGCTCTTTCTCTCTAAATGCCTTCAACATGTTTTTTTGTTGTTGTTGTTTATTTTTTATAACAGCCTTGTAGAATCTGATGATTATGGTTCTTAGGGATGGTAATATTTTATAATAGCTCCTAGGGATTCTCTGCATTTTTCAATTTGAATTTTAATTGTTTCTAAAGGGGTTGGGGAAATTTTTATGGATAATACCCTGAAATATGTTTTGCAAGTTGCCTGCTTTTCCTCCTTCTCTTTCTGGGACACCAGTGAGTTGTAGATTTTGTTTCTTAACATAATCCTTTATATCTTAGAGTGTTTGTTCATTCTTCTTTATTTTTAAAAAGTTTTGTCTGACTGAGTTATTTTGAAGAACATGTCTGAAAATTCTTTCCTTTGTCAAGCTATTCAGTTGGTGCAAAAGTAATTGTAATCTCTGACATTAAAAATAATGGCAGAAACCACAATTACTTTTGCAACCTAATAAAATTCTTTCCTCAGCTTGGTCAACTGTGCTGTTAATGCTTGCAAGTGTATTATGACATTCTTGATGTGACATTTTCAGCTCTATCAGATCAGCTTGGTTCTTTCTAAAATTGACCGTTTCATCTTTCAACTCCCGTACCTTGTTACTGTATTCCTTAGATTTCTTGGATTTGGTTTAGACATTCTCCTGAATATCAATGATATTCATTCTTATCCACATTCTGAATAGTATTTCTGGTTTTTAGCCATTTTAGCCTGGTTATGAACCATTGCTGGGGAACTAGTGCAGAGGTTAGAGGTATAAATACACTGGATTTTTGAGTTTCCAGATTTCTTGCACTGATTCTTTCTCATCTACATTGGCTGATTTCCCTTCTGTCTTTGATGTTGGTATCCTTTAGATTATTATTTTTTTACTTTTATCTTCTTTGATGCCCTTGGGAGTTTGATTATGCTATATGTTGGATTCAGTCAACCTGCTTATTTCTGAAAGATTTTAGAGGGTAAAGGCTCAGCTCAAGACTCCTGTACTGCATGCTCTAAATCTCAGTCTCTGAGATGAGGCCCATATATTCATGGCATAGGGGTGGCTCCTGTGTTTGGAGGGTACAGATGGGCTGGTATCTGTGGAGGCCACCCTGCTGGAGCTCTCCAATGGACAGGCACAGTCTGCCAGTGAAGGAGCAATGATGAGGGACCCCAGGAACAACTTGGTTGGGCTTCTGAGGATGTACTCCAAGTGAGCCATGTCAGGCTGTGGGCCTGGGATGGGCTAGCAGACAGGGGAGCACTCAGATAGAACTGACACTATCTCATAGGCAAGGCCACTTTGCTCTGTCCAGGTCTGATGGTCACTCCACAGCTAGTTCCTTAGAGGAGTATGGTGAGCCTTGTGGGATGGGTATCCCTGGTCATGCTCCACTACAGACTTTCCTGTTCTAAACCCTCTTGGCTCCACTCAGGCATAAGTCCTGCTTTTCCTATGTCTCTCAGCACCTCCTCCTGCCAGCTCAAGTGTCTATGGAGGTCATGGGGTCTCTTGCTGCCAGGATTCCCAAGGTCCATGCTGAGACTGAGCCACTCCTCTCCCGTTTAACTCTTTTCTTCCCCATGAGTCATCAGAGGCCAGTAATGAGTCCCAGTGCCCATCAGCTCTGTACAGTGTTCTCAGCTTCCTTTGCCTTTAGTACGACATCTATGTCCTTCCTCTACCCACTCTCAATGCCTTCCCTCTGAAGATATGCTCAGAGTGTGTCAGTCTTTCCAAAGTACCAGTCTGTCAGTGGCAGACATTTCTCCTGGTTGTGTCTAGTTGGCAATCTTATAAAAATCTTGACTGGCTGCCCTGTGGACTCAGAAACTGAGTTTATAGATTTTTCCAACTATTAACCTTGTTTTACTTTTATTTTTATAGACACCAACCTCCCCTCATTAAATGCCTACCTGCTATGAGAATTCAGCAAATACTTTCTACTACATAGTCGCAACAGATAAGTCACTTCCTCATTAATGAAAAACTAGTTAAATGAGAAAATGGACTTATAACATTCAAAGAAAAAAAGGATGTGTCTTATTTTCTTAAACAAGAGGGAGGCTGACAAGGATTCTTTGCTTGGGTAATCTTTAGTGAAGTTCCTGAACCTTCTCATAGGCTCAACTGCGTACCTCCTTTTAAAGTTGATTTTTACCAGATAATCCTGCTAAGTCAGTGTCTTAGTCAATTTATGCTGCTATAACAAAATACCTAAGACTGGATGATTTATAAAGAACACAAATTTATTTCTGCCAGTTCTAGAGGCGGAAAGTCCAAGCTGTAGGCACTAGGAGATTTATTGTCTGGTGTTAGTCATATCTCTGCTTCGAAGATAGCTTTTTGAATGCTGTGGTAAAATGTGGAAAAGCAAAATGGCCTAGCCAGATTCCTCCAATCCATTTATAAGTTATCAATCCTATTCACAAAAGCTCTTCCCCCATCAACTCCAAAAGATCCCACTTTTTAATACTGTCACATTGGCAATGAAGTTTCAACACATAGATTTGGGGGACATTTAAACCATGGCAGTCTGTTTAGAAAGTACTCCCCCCCACTCTCAATATGTGATCATCCTTGATATATGATCAGGATCCTTATCTTTCATCATTCCCCATGTGACGCTTCAGCACCCTGGGCTGTCTTCAGCAAGAATCCTATGTTCATTTAGTTAGAATCTCAGTTATCCTTGATTTTATTTCTCTTAATAATTTACCATTCACTGACCTCATCACTGATTCTTGGCTATAAATTTCTCCTTAATCATGCTATATTTGAAGTTATGAACAATCTCTCTACCCCACTTCAAAATCCTGTTGCAGTGGTCACTATGCCTATTGCAGTGATCCTGAATAAAATCTGCCTTATCATGCTTTAACAAGCATAATTTAATATTTTTAATGGTGTTCCCAATAGCTAAGAGGTGGAAAGAACACAAATGCCCATTGATATATGAATGGATAAACAAAATGTCATGTACATATACGATGAAATATTATTCAGTCTTAAAAAGAAAGAAATCTTGTCATATGCTATAACATGAATAAACCCTGCGGACATAATGCTAAATAAAATTAGCTAGTCACAAAGGCAAAATACTCTACAATTTCACTTGTATGAGATGTCTAAATTAATTAAATTTATAAAAATGGAAAGTAGAATGTTGTTTACCAACTGCTGAAGGGAAAAGGAAAGTGGCTGTTAGTGGACACAAAGATTCAAATTTGCAAGATGAAAAAGTTTTGGAAATATCTTTCATAATAATGTGACTATACATAGGAATTCTGAATTATACACTTAAAAGCTGTTAGTATGGTAAATTTGTTGTTATTTGTTTTTGCTATTTTATACATGTATATAAACATCATGGTGCTCCTGCCAAGTGTTTCCACTAGGGACAAAACTTCACTCAAAAACATGCTGCTTTCTCTTTTTCATATTTTTCCCAGACTCCATGTGCATTTTGGATCTAAATATTGAACTTTAGGATATCATGAAATATGGCAAGTTTCTGTTATGTTCTTTTCTATGTACTCTTCTTATGAAATAAAGCACCATAAAAAACATTAGATTAGAGAAATTAGATTTGGGAAGAAATGGATTTTAGAGACTATCAAGTAGAGTTCTTTTATTCCAACAGATGACTAAACTGAATAGGAACAAACGTGATTAGTTCAAGGGAAAACAAACATGATTAGTTCAAGGTCACATAACCAGTTAACTTTAGAACTAGAAAAGAAATCCCTATCTTTTGATGCCAAATGCTAGTGTTAGAGACTAGAGTGGGCTGAATGGTGGCCCCCAAAATAAAGGTCTACATCTTAATCCCCATGACCTGTTATCTTATTTGAAAACAAAAGGTATTTGCATATATAAGTATGTTAAGGTTGTTGAGATTAGGATATCATCCTAGATTATCTAGGTGGACCTTAAATCCAATGGTAAGTTTCCTTATAGAAGACATAGAAAGAAGAAGAGACAGATGGACAGATGCAGAGGAGACAGTGATGTGAAGATGAAGGCAGAGATTGAAGTGATGTGGCTACAAACCAAGGAACGTCAATGATTTCTGGTAGCCACCAGAAGTTAGAAGAGCAGCAAGGAATGGATTATTTGCTACAGCCCTGTAGTGAGTGCAGGTGTACTATTTTTTGAAGTTTCATTCTCCAGAACAGTGAGATGATAAATTTAAGTTATAAGCCACCAAATTTGTAGTAATATTTTATGATAGCTACAGGAAACTAAGAGAAGAACACAAAACATATAATAAACTCACATAATAGAGATTTTCCCATTTATTAGAGATAAGGAAACTCATGATTGCTTCATAGTGTAATATTGCCAATATTTTTAAATACAGTTCCTAAGAACCCTTACAATTATTTCAACTGAAATATGCCAGGAACTTAAACAACAATAACAAAAAGGTTTATTAGTTCACATTGGAAATCTAAAGGTAGCATAGCTACAAGGTTGGTTAGTTCATGTACTTAATAATAGCATCACAAAGTCAGGAGTCAGGACACTTTAGGAAGAACTGCTCAAGCAACATGAGGAAGTCAACTCAAGCCTGACCAATGTGTAATGGGTACCACTGGAAGGCAGACTGTCCCCCGAGACACAGGTTATCAGGTCCAGAGCCAGTTTCCTAAATGGTCCAGCAGAACTGATGCATACCAGGGGTCCTCTCCTCAGCTCTGTTGGTCCAGACCGCCATTATCATCCAGGAGCCCTATGTGATTCTGGAAGTTGAAGGAAGGAAGGTGCATCTCCTCCTGGACACCAGAATGAGCCTTTCAGTTTTCTCCAATTTAGCAACACCCCCCCGCCCCGCCCCCTTCTCTCTTAGCACTATCATGAGAAGCATCTCAGGAAAACCTCTAACCTGATATTTTTCCCAAATCCTTAGTTGTAATGAGAGAGACCCCTTGTTTACTCATGCTTTTAAAATTATGCCTGAAAGCCAGATTCCTCTGTTGGGCAGAGATATTTTGGCTCCTGTGGGAACCACTACCCTTATGGCTCTAAGACAGACCTCTTTGTCTCCTCCTGGTGGAGACAGATATTAACCCAGAAGTTTGGGCAACTCACGGAAAAACTGGCCGAGCCACAGTCACCACACAGCTCTCGATCCACCTTAAGGATCCTACCCTCTTTCCCTAACCAGAGACAATATTCCCTAAAACTAGAAGTTAGGAAAGGACTAGATGGCATCATTGATAATTTGAGGATGCAGGGCCTTCTCAAACCCTGCAACAGCCCTTATAATAGCCCCATATTAGGGGTACAGAAACCCAATGGTTAATGGAGACTAGTCCAGGACCTCTACCTCATTAATGAGGCTGTGGTTCCAATTCATCTGGTAGTTCCCAATCCCTATACTCTGCTAACTCAAATATGTGAGGGAACTAAATAGTTTACTGTTCTGGACCTAAAGAATTTTTATTTATTTATTTTATTTTTTAATTTTTTTCTGCATACCATTACACCCCGACTCCCAGTACTTGTTTGCATTCGAGAATCCTTCCAACCAGACCACTCAATTAACCTGGAGAGTATTACTTCAGGGATTCCGAGCTAGCCCCCACCTGTTTGGACAGGCGTTGTCAAAAGATCTGTCAGAGTTCCTTTATCCTCAGGTTAAAGTTTTACAATATGTAGGTGACATTCTCCTTTGTGCCCCACCTGAGGAAATTTCTCAGGAGGGCTGTAAGGCTCTTCTTAATTTTCTGGCTAACAGAGGATATAAGGTCTCAAAACCTAAGGCTCAACTCTGTCAGACTTCAGTGAAGTACGTGGGCCTAGTCTTGTCAGAGGGGACCAGGGCACTAGGCAAAGAAAGAATCAAGCCTATCTCCTCCTTTTCCATCCCCCAAACCTTCAAGCAACTGAGGGTATTCTTGGGCATTAAAGGATTCTGCAGGCTATGGATACCTGGGCACAGTGAAATAGCTCATTTCTTATATCACCTAATAAAGGAGACTCAGGCAGCTAATACCCACTCCCTAACTTGGGAACCAGAGCCTAAAAGGGCCTTTGACCAATTAAAGCAAGCCTTGCTTGAGGCACTGTGCTCATAGTCTTCCCATTTGGGAGATGTTCAATCTTTATGTTTTAGAAAGGAAGGGAATGGCCCTGGGAGTTCTAACAAAGGCCTGAGGTCAAGCAGCAGCCTGTAGGCTACCTAAGCAAGGAGCTTGATTTAGTAGCTAAAGAATGGCCAGCCTGCCTACAGGCAGTTGCAGTGGTAGCTTTGCTGGTACCAGAGGTTACTAAGTTTACCATGGGGAATAACTTCACCATTTATGCCCCACATAATGTGACAGGACTGCTATCTTCTGAGGGGAGTCTCTGACTAGTGGACAACCACCTCTTTAAAAATCAAGATCTGATATTAGAGAGATCTGCAGTCCAGTTAAAAATCTGTCCCTCCCTAAACCCAGCCACCTTCCTCTAAGACGAAGCTGAGGAGCTTGAACGTTACTGTAAACAGATAGTAGTCCAAAGCTATGTGGCAGAGAGGGCCTCAAAGAAACCTCCTTAGGCAACCCAGACTGGAATACTTATGGACAGAAGTTTCTTTGTAGAGCAAGGGGTCTGTAAGGCAGGGTATAAAATAGTCACCCTAAATGACGTTATTGAGAGCACCTCTTTCCTCTGGCACAAGTGCTCAACTAACTGAGCTAATTGCCCTTATGGGAGCACTTGAATTAACCAAAGGGAAAGCAGTTAACATTTATACTGATTCTAAGTTTGCTTTCCTAGTCCTCCATGCTCATGCCGCTATCTGGAAAGAGAGGGACTTCCTCAAAGCCAATAGGTCATCCATTAAATAACATCAGGAAATCAACAGACTACTATCCTTGGTCTTTCTTCCATGGAAAGTGGCAGTGAAAGCCACCAAAAGGGAACAAATAAAATAGCTGAGGAAAGAAAGTTGGCAGACCAAGCAGCTAAGTCAACAGTGAGAGGGCTCCATATTTCTGATCCACTTGAGGCCCTTGTGATCTGGGAGGGCTCCATAAAATAATAATAATTTTAAAAAAATCAGTATTCCTCTGCAGAGATAGGATGGGCTACCTCTTAGTGATATACTCTTCAGTCCTCAGGATGGCTGCAATTGGAGGATGGCAAACTTCATCTACCAGCTTCCAGCCAATGGAAAGTTTTAAAAATCCTCCACCAAGCCTTCCACCTAGGTAAGGATAAAACCTATTAAGTGGACCAAAGGTTGTTCTCAGGTAAAAAAAAAAATGGTCAAACAGGTCATTAATGCTTGTGAGACTTGTCTTAAAAATAATCTCTTCAATTGACAGCTTCTCTCTCCCAGAACCCAAAGAACAGGAGGTTACCTGGGGGGAAGACTGGCCGATGTATTTCACCCATATGCCAAAGACAAGGAGCATCCAGTATCTCCTAGTATGGGTAGATACCTTCACTAACTGGGTAGAAGTATTTCCATGTCAAATGGAGAAAGCCTCTGAGGTGATAAAAGTACTGATTAATGAAATAATTCCTTGCTCTGGACTTCTTAAATACCTCCAGAGTGAAAATGGCCCCTCATTCAAGGTGACTGTCACCCAGGGGGTCTCAAAGTCATTAGGCATACAGCACTACCTTCATTGTGCTGGGAAATCACAGTCCTGGGGAAAGGTAGAAAAGACAAATGATATTCTCAAAAGGCACATCAGAAAACTGTCTCAAGAGACTCATATGCCCTGGATTACTCTTCTCCCCATTGCCCCACTACTTTTTAGAAACACCCCTTTGAAGCTGGGTTTAAGTCCCTTAAAAATGATGTATGGATGGTCTTTTCTCACCAGTGGTTTCTTGCTAGGCCAAGAAAACCTCTCTGATTTGATTAAGCATATAATCTTTTTGGCTTGTTTCCAACATGAACTGAAACAACTATCAGAACCCCAATCCCATGAGCTAGGGCCACTTCTGTTTAACCCAAGAGACTTAATAATGATAAAGGCACTTTTTTCCCTTTCTCCCTTTCTAGTCCTGAAATGAGAAGGACCTTACAGTGTACTTCTTTCTACTCCTACAGCAGTAAAGGTCACTGGAATAGATTCTTGGATTTTTTATACTCAAGTAAAGGCCTGGGAAACTGAAGAAATTACTTCTGTTGAACCAGGAGAACACCTGAAGTACCAGAATGAAGGACTCAGGGACCTCAAGCTAAAAATCACAAAAGATAAGTGTTGATAGTTAACTCTCCATTGTTATCCTATGCTTATTGTTCTCACCTTTGTTCTGTTCCTCACCATAAGACATCTTTGTTAAGTACCCCTTCCCAAGGGATTATCTACCCCTCTAAACAATCATTTCTCTTTTAAAGCTTAACTGATCTCATACAATTTTTAATTTCTTCCACCAGGTTGAAGCAGCCCATTGCATACTTAACCTCTTTGTAAAGTGTGTTTCTTCTTGCCTAGAAGCCATAAAACTCCAAGCAGTCATGCAACTGAAGCCTTGGATGATGACCCCCTTTTTACTGTGAACCCTTACACAGGCTTCTGAGAGAAGATATGACTCCTATTTTCCCCAAAAGAACACCCACTGTCTGTATTAAGCAGTTAAGAGCGGTCATTGTCCCAATCCTAATGGCAGTTAGAAGTACCTCTTTAGATGGGGTATTGATGGCTGTGGTGGCCCATCTGGAATTGCTGCTGCCATGATGCCATCTGCAGTGGGGTAGGTGCTACCAGGGCTGTGCACTCCACAAAGCCAGGAGGGGCCGGGAGCAGGAAGGAGCCCTGCCCTCCCAGGTGCAGCTGCAGCCACCCAAGTCACAGCTGTGAACCCAGGCATCTCTTTATTCTTGGGGGCCCAGGAAAGCCTGCCCCAACCTCTGCATGCTCAGAAATGTCTGCTTCTGCTACTTGGCCTCTCCTTGCTCCTAGCACCCACTCATAACATAGAGCAAGGTTGGGGCCGAGCCTGGGTGTTGTCCCAGCCCAGCCAGATGTGCACATGCTTGGAGCAGTGCTGACACACCAGCTCCCTGCTGCCTTGGTCCCCTCTGGAGTTTGGGCATTGGCAAACACAGAGGGGAGACTGAGGGGGAGCTGAGGGCAGCTCAGCACTGGCTGTCGAGCACCCCTTGGCATGAAGAGCATGTGTGCCATGAATGGTGACAGAAGGCAGACAGGCTTCTTGGAAGAAGGGGGAGGGTCCCCTGTGAAGCTCCACCTTCCAGTCAGGGAGGGTCTGAAGCCTGGGGGCAGAGTTGCTTGTCCCGTGGATCAGTATGAGAAGTTGTGATGCTTTTACTGGGTCCTCCCATGGCTGCCCATGGAACAATAAGCATGTACTTCTTCCCCACTGAGGCCCATGAAAATCCTGGACTCAGCCAGAGTTGAGCAGATGATGGGACAGCCAGATGTGTGGGGAGCTACCTACCCCATGGTCTTCTCTCTGCAGAGAGCTGAAGAGGTAATGGGATGACCAGCTGTGGAGAGGAGCTACCCACCCCAGAGTCTTCTCTCTCCTCAGAGCTGAAGAGATGACAGGTTGGCCATCTGCAGAGAGCAACTACCTGTCCCAGGGTCTCCTCTCTGCTGAGAGCTGAAGAGACAATGGGGTGACCAGCTGTGGAGAGGAGCTACTCACACCAAGGTCTTCTCCCTGCTGAGGGCTAAACACTCATTAGGACACCCCACCTGCAGAGAGGAGCTACCCACTGCGGGTCTCTTTTGAGCTGTTCTGTGGCTCAATAAAGCTTCTCTTTGCCTTTCTCACCCTCCAATTTTCTATCTACTGCATTCTTCCTGAATGCAAGACAAGAAGATGGCACCCACCAAATGGCAGGGCTAAAAGAGCTGTAACAGATAGGGCTGAACATGCCCCTTGCTTGGCATGTTGTGGGCAACAAGAGGAAGAGAAGAGAGAAGGAGAGAAGAGGTGCAGCCCTTTGGGGAGCCCAGACCTCTCAGCTCCCTGAGCCAGGGCTTTGACCCCTTTTTTGGGAATCTGTGGTTCTTCATGTCTCCCAGCATCTGGGCACCACCATGTTCCCCAGTGGCAGCCATGGAAGCTGCTTGAGGCATGACTCGTCCAGCCACAGCCTCACAGGGAGCCGGTGCCTGTGTCAGTGCCTGAAGCTCTCTGCCTTGCTGTAGCAGGCGTACCTGGCTGTGCACAATGGCCAGACCCCACACTTGCTCACACACCCCTTGCCTTTTCACACCTGGCTTGCCATTGGCAGGTGTGGGATGAAGGCTGGTAGCACAAGCCAATTGCAGCCTCCCAGGCCACATGGGTAGAACAAGTCCAGCCAGCCCGAGCAAAACTCAGGCAAAAGTACCACTGGCCACAGATGTTTCCAGCTGGTGAAGCGACACCCCAAGAATCCCATGACACTATTGCTTCCGTTTCTCTGGAGAACCATGACTAATATCACTAATTAATATTTATTGAGTCGACATTGGCCCCAAATTAGGGTTCTGCTAAAAGAAAAGCAAAGAAAATTGGATACTGAGTATACAACTAACTGAATCAGCTTCTGTGTTTCAATCAATAGAAAGAAAGAAAGAAGCAGGGCATGGTTGCTCATGTTTGTAATTCCAGAACTTTGGGAGGCCAAAGCAGGCAGATTACTTGAGGCTAGGAATTTGAGACTAGCCAGGCCAACATGGTGAAACCCTGTCTCTACTAAAAATACAAAAATTAGCCAGTTTAGTGGGGCACTCCTGTAATCTCAGCTACTCAGGAGGCTGAGGCATGAGAATCTCTTTAACCCAGGAGGTGGGAGGTTGCATCTCACACGAGTCAGAAAGGTTTTTATTAAAAAGTCAAAAAACGGATGTTGGTGAAGTTCTGGAGAAAATGGAACACTTATACACTGTTGGTGGGAATGTAAATTAGTTTCTGTGGAAAGCAGTTTAGGGATTTCTCCCAGAACTTAAAACACAGCTAACCATTCAACCCAGCAATTACATTCCTGGGTATACAAAAAAAGCAAAATAATTTGTTCTACCAAAGAGACATATGCACTTGTATATTCATTGTCCCCTTATTCACAATAGAAAAGACATGTAATCAACCTAGATGCTCATCAACAGTAGACTGGTTATAAATAATGTGGTACACCTATGCCATGGAATACTATGCAGCCGTAAAAAAAGATCATGTCCTTTGCAGCAACATGGATGCAGCTGGAGGCCATTATCCAAATCAAACCAACACAGAAACAGAAATCCAAATACCTCATGTTATCACTTATAAGTGAGAGCTAAACATTGAGTACACATGTATATAAACATGGGAACAATGGGAACTAAGAACTACTAGGGTGGGAGCATGAGAGAGGAGCAAGGGTTGAAAAACTACCTCTCAGGTACTATGCTGACTACCTGAGTTACAAGATCGTTCATACACCAAACCTCAGTGACATGCAATTTCCCATTGTAACAAACCTAGACATATACCCCTTGAACCTAAAATAATAGTTGAAAAGAAAGGAAAGAAAGGAAAGAAAGGAAGGAAAGAAGGAAGGAAGGAAGGGAAGGAGGGAGGGAGGGAGGAAGGAACGAAGGAAGGAAGGAAGGAAGGAAGGAAAAGAAATAATAATTACAGAAAACAGAAATAATCTAACAGAGATTAAATGATTCTCTGATTTAAAATTTTACAGTTTCACAGAACATATAGGCTAAAATAGACTTTAAACTTGGTCTATCCAATTTGTTTCCCAACATAACTGATCAGTAGTATCATTTGTAGTGACAATAAGAAATAACTTTTGGAACCTGTCTCTAGATCCACTGAGTCAAAATCTCCAGGATAGGGTCCCAGGTACCTGCATTTTTAAGTTTCTTAAGTGGTTCTGCTGATTCAGCAAGTTTGAGAATACCAGCATGTTTTATTCCCTAGCTCTTGTCCAGGCCTGAAAGGGTGAGTGGCCAGGGTTTTCTGAGTATATCAAAACAAAGTCTATAAAGGAATATCTACAAGCAGAAAAATACATTAAAACATAATTCTAATTTTGAAATTAAAAAATAATTATTTACATGAACCTCTTGTTTAATAAATATTTTTAGCCTTTGTTGCATTCATATATCCTTTCTAGGAAGCTAGTAATTTTATTATTCAGGTGACATATCTGAAGTATGAGCTTTATTGATTGGTATACATTCTTGCTTTGTTTGGATACCCAATCTTGTAGCAATAAAAGGTTAATTTGTCACAGAAGGTCAACCTGTTCCATCATCAGGTACTGCAATCTGAAGCTCACATGGTCCCACGTGCCTAGGATTAATGTGAAAATCAATATACAATGGTTGAATTTTTAACGGTGGAGTTTCTGCAAAGGTTTTAACAATTTATACCCCCAAATAAAGTTCAGCCCATATGTTTCAAAACTGAAGCTCATAAGGTCATAAACATCATCATTAGTACCACTGTTCTTAAGCTTCATAGACTGAACAGGACCTGAGTATTCCTATTGATTGCACTTTTACACACCTCTTAACTCTCATGAGTGTACTCTGCTCTAGAAAATGGGCAGTTTCAGTTTAAGCAAGGTACAACTGTATCCTTCTTATTGTTTGCTAATATTATGTGTTTTCTGAAGAAACTTTTCATCATAAGCTACATTCCATGAGGCTATAGGAATACTTTATCCTAACAATACAAAAACAAAATAAAAAACAACTTTAATTTGGTTGTATTTATTATTTTCCATCTTTAAAAATACATTAATATTACAATTTTGAAAAGGATAGGGTTTGCCTCGTAGTTTATAAATATTTTATTTGCTTAAACATCTTGGGTCTGAAAGTTCTTGGCCAAAGAAATTGCTTACAAAAAGGATATTAGAAGAATCAGGATTGTGGAACCATTTGCAGATAATATTATATTAGCCTTCCTATAACTGAAACTAAAGAATCTTACATTATCAGTTTTGAACAAACATCCAAATGGAATACTGTATCCCAACCACATTGTAATGAAAGCCACTTACTACAATATGCAGACAAGTATATGTTGTGTTTTTAAAACTTATTTATATAAATCAAAATTTCAATGTATGAAACATGGGCAATTGCAGTAGATTATACAACATGTTCTAGTATTGGCCAGGGCCGTTAATTGCAAAAAAACAATAACCTAACCCAAATTAACTCCATTTTGAAAATTTCTAGGGAACCAATATGTTTGGCATAGCTAAGGTCATATGCCCTCTTGGACTAATAATTATGGCTATTAAAAGAGAATCTGTAGTAAAATGACTTCAACTCTTTGAGTCACAAATTTAAAAAAGAAAAAATCTAAGTAAGATATTGGATGGTGAAACAGTTGCTGCTTTTATAAGAAGTGAGAGATGGTGAACAGATGAACAAATGTCTACTGTTCTCTCTACTGAATATTTCATGGGCATTTTTTACGACAGTCAGTTTTTAGGTGCTTTATAATGTGAGGCAGGATATAAAGAACATACCGTGTAACTTGCTCTCTAAGAAATGACAATCTAGTAATACAAATTTATAAAATTTGACATCAAACTTTATAGGTTATTCAGATATTCTAAGGTTATTGAACATCAAATCAATCTATAAACAATTAACCATAAAATCAAGATGTGTCTCTTCTCAGTTACTTATGCAGCTTTAGAACATCACCCATGATAGTTGTTGAACTCAGTGCGACTGCAGACCTTCTCTGCTGTATAGTAAGCAATATGGATTCTTACCCCAAAATGACAGAGGCACTTATCTTACTCTCACAAAACTTCTGGTAAACACAGGAAGGAAAAACGTGTTCATATATAACTATCATATACGACAAAGTGTAATTTATTTTAAGAGACAATGGCAGGAAGATTCAAAATTTGTCTAAAAATCTTGGAGTAATTTAAGAATCATTAAAGGGAGAAGATGAATGTGATTTGGCAAACTGACTAGAAAAATATAGGTGAAATTTCTTGTTTTTTTTTTTTCTAATTTTTGTTTTGTTATGTACAATAAGAATAACTTGAAGAAGGTACAGCAAAAGCATTTAAATATTTCTTATTTTTATTGAAACTTCAATTTGTATGTGTTAACAATCTATCATATGCTAGGTACTATTGTGTCAGGTACAATCAAATAAAAAATTCACACAGACAAAGAGAGACACTTTTCAAAACGATTATTGCAACAGGTAGATGACTATTGGAATAGAGAGATGAGGAACTACTGCAATAGTGTGAATGATCTGATCATAAGATCTGCAAGTATCTCAAATTTGGGTGGAAAGGAATTTTTCTGTTTTTAGAAGGAGTAAACAAGGATAGAATGAAATGGGTTTGAGAAAGCACTAGTGGTATATAAGAGATGAAAATGTTGAGAAGAAATGATTAGAAAGATCAGAGGAAGTTTTTTCCTGAGGTCAGCCTTTTCTAGAGAGGAGACATTAAAGAGGATGTTGAATGCTGGCTAAGGCTGAGTTTGGTTCAAAATTCAAGGCCCTGGGAGAAGGAAATAATTTTGTCTAAAGTTTCATTAACAAGCAATTTGTTCTAACTAATCAGTGTGGACAAGTAGTTCAACTAATCATTTATAAGAATTGTAATTTGGAAGGTTAGTGTCTGATCACAGGTAAAAATGGGGAGTATCCATGAGTCTTATCCAAGTCAGGTAAAGATGAATAGTTATTTTCAGCAAACCATTTTACGGAACAAAAGTGCGGTAAGGTATCCTAATTATCACTATTTTCTAGGAGCATGGGGAATGGGTAAAGTTTAACATTGTCAGTACAGAAAAATGAGACATATTTACTTCATGCTATTTAAAATGTGTGTAACCGTCACAATGTTACCTAACTTCTCTGTGCTTCCTTTACTTCATTTATAAAATAAAGGTAATAGTATAATCCTATCATAGGGTTTTTGTGATAATCAGATGTGTTAATATGTTTTAAATGCCTAGAAGATTTTCTATTACAACATGAGAGCTCAAAGTTATGTTCTGTTTTGGCTATTTTTGTCATAATTATAGTTGTCATTATTATTGTTATTTTAAGGGTCCAGTAATCTATGGGGAGACAGGGCTTACATAAAAAATAATCAGATAACTCTACAGAATATACTTGACTTTAGCAAAGTACTGTACTGTTTGTATTGAAGTAAGCTATATTTAAACGGGAAAGTTAGGAGTGGAATTACATTGAGAAGGCCTAATACCTTGCTGACAGTACTGAAATATATGATCTACATCTTTTTTCTTTTTTTTTTTTTAACTATAATGACTTTAGTTGATTAACACAGTCATTATCTATTGAGAATCTACTTTGGCCAGTTAGTGCTGTTGATTATCAAGCACTCTCCCTTCTCCCACAGAGTTCACAGTCTAGTAGAAAGGTTCTTAAATAGATCATAATTGATCGATCAGCTGATAGATAAAAGATTGTTTATATGATGACACATTACTAGTTCAGATGGTTAACTTTCTGTCTTCTTGAGACCTCAGAACATTTGGGACTCTTTCTGACACACGAGTTTATTTTTTTAGGGTCCTGCTTCTCTTTCCAAAACACACTTTTAAGCCTTTAATTTATTCATCCTTTTGTTTTACTGCAGACTCATTTTGTGTTTGGTGATTTTCTGCTGGGTTTTGGCCACATTAGTAAACCCACTACCCACCTGATTACACTGGTTCCAGTTTTCTCTAAAATATTTTCATTTAATTTATTCGGAAGGGAACATCTTAGGCCAACTATACTTAAAACCATCATATTAAGGAGAATTAAAGTGTTATGCTAATAAATGCTTCTCCCTATTTACTTATATCTAAAACCAAAACTTACCCATTGCTAAACCAGCCATTGTAATATTGAAATATGGATGAAATAAATAATTTTTTACAAATGGAAAGTGAGTCTTTTCTTACCTTGGCAGTCTTTATAAGACACCTTGACAAAAATAATATGTGCTCATTTAAGAGCCCAAATTGACCCAAAGGACTTTTTATAGACATTATTTTCAAATCTAGATATTACTGGTTTTCAGATATGAATAGTCAAACAATTCCAACACAGGAGGAGATAAGGGTCTCTGATGCACTACATACAGAATTATATTTCAACCACTATAAACATCATTTAATGAACCCTATCTAATGACCTCTTCCATGGTTTGCATTAGTAATATTATTCAAAAATAATGCTACAAAAACTAAAATTAGTGCTTTCTCAAAGGAAAACCGAGTTTTTCCAGGATTAGTTAAAAGGGATTGCAGGGAGAAAATTAATGTAACAGAGAATTTTCTACACTATAAAGGAATATAGAGAATCACAATCTAATCACAAAATGCTGACTAGAGACACAGTATTTGGGTAACTTCCATTTTCTTTGCAAAACATATTACCGTACTTATATTTAAAAGAGTTGACTTTACCAGAATCTAGTCAGATATAATTTTATTCTTTAAAAGTGTATGTCTTTATCATGTATGTTTCCTTCAAAGGAGATGACTTATATCAATAATTTTTATTTGAAGTAATATTACTTCATAGTGTATACCCTTTACAAAATAAATATGGTAATGCTGACATTAAATCCAAGGTTTGTTCTGGCAGATGAAAAGTGACAATAATTTCCAGCAGTTCTGCAAATTTAAAGCTACCAATGCAAAGTAATAATATTTCTTTTTTATTATATAACCTGATTTAAGTGTTTGTCATTCAAGTAAAAAGGAGAACATCTTTATCTTCACAATTTTTTAGATAAAGAAGCTAAGTCTAGAAGTCAGAACCATGGCATCTATTTTGTTTTGTTGTTTGTTTGTTTGTTTTTGCCTTTTTATTTTCTTCTTTTAAGTTCAGGGGGTATAGGTGCAGCTTTGTTGCATGGGTAAATGGCACGTCTTGAATATCTGGTGTCCAGATTATTTTGTCACCCAGCTAATAGCCATAGTAACTGATAAGTAGTTTGTCAATCTTCACTCTCCCCTCACCCTCCACCATCAAGTAGGCCCCATTTTCTATTGCTTCCTTTTTTTCTTTTAATCTATGTATAGTCAATATTTACCTCCTACTTGTAAGTGAGAGCATGCAGTATTTGGCTTTCTCTTCCTGTGTTAGTTGGCTTACAATAATGATCTCCAGCTCCATTCATGTTGCTGCAAAGGGCATGCTTTCTTTTTGTTTTCAGTTTTTATGGTATTCCATGGGTATATGTACCATATTTTCTTTACTCTGTCCACATTAATGGGCATTTAGGTGGGTTCCATGTCTTTGCTATTGTGAATAGTGCTGTAATAAACATATATGTGCATGTGTCTTTCTGGGTGTATTAGTCTGTTCTCACACTGCTATAAAAAACTACCTGAAACTGGGTAATTTTTGAAGAAAAGAGGTTTAATTGACTCACAGTTCCTTCGGCTATACAGGAGGCATGGCTGGGGAGGCCTCAGGAAACTTACAATCATAGCAGAAGGTGAAGGGGAAGCAAGCATGTCTTTACATGGCTGGCAGGAGAGATAGAGAAAGTCAAAGGGGAGGTGCTACACATCTTCAAAGAATCAGATCTTGTAGGAACTCTATCAGGAGACAGCACTAGGAGGTTGCTGTTAAACTTTCATGATCACCACCCTCATGATCCAAACACCTCCCACCAGGCCCCATGTCTAACACTGGGAATTACAGTTTAACATAACATTTGGGTGGGGACACAGAACAAACCATATTGCTGAGAGAATGTTTATATTCTTAGGTGTAATATACCCAGTAATGCGATTGCTGCAGTGAATATTAGTTTTCTTATAACTTCTTTGAGAAATCTCCAAACTGCTTTCAACAGTGGTTGAAATAGTTAGCACTGACACCAGCAGTGTGTAAGCATTCCCCTTTCTATACAACCTTGCCAGAATCTTTTTTTTTTTTTTGTAGTTTGTCATAACCATTCTGATTGGTGTGAGATGGTATCTCACTGTAGTTTTGGTTTGCATTTCTTTCTTTCTTTTTTCTTTTCTTTTTTTTTTTTTTTTTTTTTTTTTTTTTTTTGAGGCAGAGTTTCGCTTCTTGTTACCCAGGCTGGAGTGCAATGGCACAATCTTGGCTCACTGCAACCTTCCCCTCCCAAGTTCAAGCGATTCTCCTGCCTCAGCCTCTGGAGTAGCTGGGATTACAGGCATGTGCCACCACACCTGGCTAATTTTGTATTTTTAGTAGAGATGGGGTTTCTCCATGTTGGTCATTCTGGTCTCGAACTCCCGACCTCAGGTGATCCGCCCGCCTCGGCCTCCCAAAGTGTTGGGATTACAGGCGTGAGCCACTGTGCCTAGCCTTGATTTGCATTTCTCAAATGATTAATGGGATTATTTTTTCATATGCCTTTTGGCCATGTTTATGTCTTCTCTTGAGAAGTGTCTGTTTATGACCTTTGCCCAATTTTTAATGTGGTTGTTTATTTTTGCTTGTTAATTTGTTTAAATTCCTTACAGATTCTGAATAATGACCTTTGTTGGATGCATCATTTGCAAATATTTTCTTTCATTCTATAGGTTTTCCATTTACACTGTTGGTAGTTTCTTTTGCTGTGCAGAATCTCTTTCATTTAATTAGGTCTCACTTGTTAATTTTTGGTTTTGTCGTTAACTGCTTTCAGAGCCTTAGTCATGACGTGTTTGATAGGTCCTATGTCCAGAATGTTATTTCCTAGGTTATCGTCAAGGGATTTTATAGTTTTATGTTTTATATTTTAAAGTTTTTAATTTATATTCTGTTGATTTTTTTTCATATGGGGAAAGGAAGTGGTCTAGTTTTAATCTTCTGCATATGATTAGTCAGTTATGCCAGCACCATTTACCGAATTTTTAATCCTTTCCCTGTTGCTTGATTTTGTCAACTTTGTCAAAGACAGGTGATTGTAGACAGTAGGGTTTCTTTCTGGGTTCTTCATTCTGTTTCATTGGTTTATGTGTGTTTTTCTACTGGTACTGTGCTATTTTTTTACTATAGCCTTGTAGTATAGTTTGAATTCAGGTAGGAAGATCATTTTGAATAGGATTGATTCAGGCACTTTTTTTGGTTCAGTTTGAAATTTAGAATAGTTTTTTCCAATTATTTGAAAAATATCTTTGGTAGTTTGATAGAAATAGCACTGGAACTGTCAATTGTGTTTGGCAGAATGGCCATTTTAACAGTACAGATTTTTCCTATCAGTTAGCATGGACTTTTTGTCTCATCTTCATTTTATTTCAGCAGTGTTCCATAATTCTCATTGTAGAGATTTTTCACCTCCCTGATTAGCTGTACTCCTAGGTATTGTGTGTGTGTGTGTGTGTGTGTGTGTGTGTGTGTGGCTACTGTGAATGGAACTGTGTCTTGATTTGGCTTTTGGCTTGTATGTTGTGGTGTAAAGAAATGCTACAGATTTTTGTACCTTGATTTTGTATCTGAACCTTTGCCAAAGTTGTTTATCATATCTAGGAACCTTGTAGTGGAGTCTTTAAGATTTTCTAGTTATAGAATCATATCAGCAGAGAGATATTTGGCTTCTTCTTTTCCTATATGGATGCCTTTTATTTCTTTATCTTGCCTCATTGCTCAGACTGGAACCTCCAGTATAACATTGAATAGGAGTGGGGACAGTTGGTATCCTTGTCTTTTCACAGTTCTCAAGAGGAATGGTTTCAGCCTTTCACCAAATTACTATATACTATTACTTGACGTTGGCTGTGGGTTTGTCATAGATGTATTTTATTATTTTGAGGTATGTACTTTCAATGCTTAGTCCATTGAGAGTTTTCATCATAAAAGATATTAAATTTTATTCAATGCTTTATTTCTGCATATTTGGAGATAATCACATGCTTTTGCTTTTAATTCTATTTATTTAGTGATCACATTTATTAATTTGCATATGTTGAACCAGGCTTGTATCTAAAGAATAAAGCTTATTTGGTTGTGGTAAATTAACTTTTTGATGTTCTACTGGATACTGTTTGCTAGTATTTTGTTGAGGATTTTTAGATATAGAATTTGTGGGGTCCTTTATGAATTTTACGGAAAATTTTAGTAAAGCCATATTGGACTGGAGATTAGTTTTCCTGGTAATGTTTAAATACAGATTTAATTTCTTTGATTGAAAGCTATTAATATTATCTACTCTTTTTAACAGTTAATGAATTTTAAGATATTGGTCTATTCCACCTATGTTATAGTATTTATGTATGTTGTGTTATTTTTATTATTTTATTATGATTTTTTAAATGTGTGAGTAGTCTTTAGTGTTAGTCACTCTTGTATGTCTAATAATGATAATCTGTGTCTTCTCTTTGATGATTTTCTTTATCAATATTTCTAGATGCTTATTCATTTCATGGATCTTTTCTTATATTACCAGTGCTTTGTTTCATTGATATTTTGTATCTCTCTGTGTTAAATTTCATTGTTTTCTATTCTTATGTCACTTTCTTATAGATTATTAGTAGATTTGGGTTGATTTTGATTTTACTTTTTCAGTTTTGTAAGGTGGAAACAAATTAATTTGAGACCATTCTTCCTTTCTAATGTATTTATTTACAACTTACATTTCCTTCTGCACATTTCTATGCTGCATTCTACAAACACTGATGTTATATTTTTTTTTATTTTTTATTATCTTAGCGCACCCACTGAATTTTTACTTTGGTTATTTTATTTTTAGCTCAAAAACTTTTATTTGTTGTTTTCTTCTTTATATTGAGACAAATTGTCACTCTGTCACCCAGGCTGGAGTTCAGTGATGTGATCATGGATTGCTGCAACCTCCTCCTCCCAAGTTCAAGTGATCCTCCCACTTCAGCCTCTCAAATAGCTGAAAGTACAGGTGCATGCCACCACACTGGGCTAATCTTTGCATTTTTCATAGAGATGGGGTATTGCCATTTTGTCCAGGCTAGTCTCAAACTCTTGGGCTAAAGTTATCTGCCTGCCTGAGCCTCCCAGAGTGCTGGGATTACAGGTGTGAGTCACTATGCCCAGACTACATTTAGGTATTTTTATAACTTCTGTATCTTTGCTAGAGTTTTCTGTCATTCCAGTTTAAGTGTGTTTTCTCACACGCTTAGAGTTTGATTATAATAGCTGCTCTAAAACCCTTGTACAATAAGCCCAATATCTTGAAAACTTTTTATTGGTATTTTACTGTATTTTTTCATTTTAGATCTTGAGATTTGATTAATTTTTTGCAACCTAAGTAATATTTATTACCTTTGGGACATTTTCAATATTATAGTATATTATTCTGGGTCTTGTTTGAATATTATTAAAATTTTTACTTTCATTTTATTTTTACTTTTTAGCAATTAACTTGGTTAAATTAAAACTGCCCCACGATCTCAGGGGAGCAGGCTGGGCTACCCAGCAGTGACACACACAAACTAGTTCTAGGTTACCAAGCCAGCCATGGCCACAAGTCTCATTGCCCAGGAGCAAATGTGGTTGTAGCAGTTCTCTGCTCACCACAGTTCTATGATGAGTGACAGCACAATTCCAGCACCTACTTGTGTGGAGCTCTCCACAATTTTGGCTGTGAAGGTGCCTACCCTACTCTAGAGCAATCATTTTGTGGCCCAATACTAAAATGCCTGTGTGGGCACACTCCTGGGTCACCCAATAACTTACTTTGTATGTACCCAAACTGAAAATAGTGTGCTCTCCATCTCAGATCTGGGAAAATTTCTGCAGCTATTCTCAGTGACTTTTGCTCCTAGCATCTCCCAGACTTTTCGGAAATTAGCTCTAGGGCTTTGGAGAAACAAAGTGCTCTTCTTTGGCCTGAGTTGCTTAGATCCCCAGTGGAAAGGTAAGTCACAGGGAGAAGCTATCTGTCTCTCACACATTTTGGGACTTCACTCAATTTTTTCCATCAGAAGTTGTCACAGGGTCAATTTCCCCATAGTCTCCTCACTGAGATCTGGGCCGTTCTTCATGACTCTGAGGAATTCCCAATTTACTTTTTGAATTAAAGTTCGCAGAGCTGATCTTTTTGTACTATTTTGATATTTTCAAATGGCTGAGTCATGCTAAAAGACTCTAATCCACCATCTCCCAGGAGCTACAGCTATACCCTGCATTAACTGCCAACAGTAGCCACTACACACTCCAAGGATCAGCCCATGCCTAAAAGAACACAAAGATTCTCTCAGTGAACAAGGATCAAGTATGTACTCACCCATTTTCGCTGCTGCCAACTCCTACCTATAAGGGCCACCTACTGGCTTGTATGTGAAACCTTACAGCACAATATAAAACCTCTCAACAAAAATGCTTAGCCCTACAGAAGCAGAGCCAAAATTTCCTACCCGACATTACAGTCACATAACCTGGGGATGGAAGAAAGACAAGAAAATAAAGTCAAAATATCACGGGGAATAAAGAAAATATTTGTCCACATGAAAATGAATATGAGAATTAGAAATTCTGCCATGTCCAGATGAGCAGGAACCAGTGTAAGAATTCTGGAACCACAAAATATATATATTTTTTATTATATTACTTTAAGTTCTGGGACACATGCAGAATGTGCAGGTTTGTTACATAGGTGTACACGTGCCATGGCGGTTTGCTGCACCCATCAATCAACCCATCATCTACATTAGGTATTTCTCCTAATGCTGTCCCTCCCCCAGACCCCACCCCGCCGATAGGACCCAGTGAGTGATGATCACCTCCCTGTGTCCATATGTTCCCATTCTTCAACTCCCACTTATGAGTGAGAACATGCGGTATTTGGTTTTCTGCTCCTGTGTTAGTTTGCTGAGAATGATGGTTTCCAGCTTCATCCATGTCCCTGCAAAGGACATGAACTCATCCTTTCTTACAGCTGCATAGTATTCCATGGTGTAAATGTGCCACATTTTCTTTATCCAGTCTATCATTGGGTTACTTCCAAGTCTTTACTATTGTGAATAGTGCTGCAATAAACACACTTGTGCATGTGTCTTTATAGTAGAATGATTTATAATACTTTAGGCTTATTCTGCATGGTAGACCAAATGGATCTAATAGATATTTACATAATATTTGATCCAGCAGCTGAAGAACACACTCTACAAGCCAGAGGAGATTGTGGGCCAATATTCAACATTCTTAAAGGGAAGAATTTTCAACCCAGAATTTCGTATCCATCCAAAGTCATCTTCATAAGCAAAGGATAAATACAATTATTTCCAGACAAGCTGATGCTGAGGGATTTTGTTATCACCGTGCCTTCCTTGCAAGACCTCTTGAAAGAAGCATTAAATATGGAAAGGAAAAACCAGTACCAACCACTGCAAAAACACACCAAAATATAAAGACCAGTGACACTATGAAGAAACTTTATCAACTACTGTGCAAAATAACCAGATAGCACCATGATGACAGAATCAAATTCCCACAGAACAGTATTAACCTTAAATGTAAATGGTCTAAATGCCCCAATTAAAAGGCACAGACTGACAAATTGCATAGAGTCAAGATCCATTGGTGTGCTGTATTCAGGAGACTCATCTCACATGTAAAGACACACATAGCCTCAAAATAAAAAGATGGAGAAAAATTTACCAAGCAAATGGAAAGCAAAAAAAAAAAAAAAAAAAAAAAAAAAAAATTCAGGGGTTGCAATCCTAACCTCTGACAAAACAGATTTTAAACCAGCAAAGATCAAAAAAGACAAAGAAGAGCATTACATAATGGTAAAGGGAACAATTCAACGAGAAGGACTAACTATTCTAAATATGTATGCACCCAATACAGTAGCATCCAGATTTATCAAACAAATTCTTAGAGACCTAAAAAGAGACTTAGACTCCCACACAATAATAGTGGGAGACTTTAACACCCCATTGTCAATATTAGACAGATCAACGAGACAGAAAATTAACAAGGATATTCAGGACTTGAACTCAGCTCTGGACCAAATGGACCTAGTAGATATCTACAGAACTTTCCACACCAAATCAACATAATATACATTCTTCTCAGTGCCACATAGCACTTATTCTAAAATCGATCACATAATTGGAAGTAGAACACTTACTCCTCAGCAAATGCAAAAGAATGGAAATCATAACAAACTGTCTGTCAACCACAGTGCAATCAAATTAGAACTCAGGATTAAGAAAGTCATTCAAAATTGCACAACTACTTGGAAATTGAACAACCTGCTCCTGAATGACTACTGTTTAAGTAACAAAATTAAGGCAGAAATAAAAAAGTTCTTCGAAACCAATGAGAACAAAGCAACAATGTACAAGAATCTCTGGCACACAGCTAAAGCTGTGTTAAGACGGAAATTTTTGCTACTAATTGCCCACAGGAGGAAGTGGGAAAGATCTCAAATCGACACTCTAACATCACAATTAAAAGAGCTAGAGAGGCAAGAGCAAAGTAATCCAAAATCTAGCAAAAGACAAGAAATAACTAAGATCAGAGAAGAATTGAAGGAAATAGAGATACAGAAACCCTGCAAAAATCAATAAATCCAGGTTTTTTTTTAAAAAAAAGCAAATAGACCACTAGCTATACTAATAAAGAAGAAAAAATGAAGAATCAAATAGACACAATAAAAAAATGATAAAGGGGATAGCACCACTGACCCCACAGAAATACAAACTACCATCAGAGATATTATAAACACCTTTACACAAATAAACTAGAAAATCTAGAAGAAAGGAATAAATTCCTGGACACATACACCCTCCCAATACTAAACCAATAAGAAGTCACATCCCTGAATAGACCAATAACACATTCTAAAATTAAAGCAGTAATTAATAGCCTACCAACCAAAAAAAGCCCAGGACCAGGCGGATTCACAGCCAAATTCTATAAGAGGTACAAAGAGGAGCTGGTACCATTCATTCTGAAGCTATTCCAAATAATTAAAAAGGAGGAACTCCTCCTTAACTAATTTTATGAAGCCGGCATCTTCCTGATACCAAACCCTGGCAGAAACAAAACAAAAAAAGACAACTTCAGGCCAGTATCCCTGACGAACATTGATTCAAAAATCCTCAATAAAATACTGGCAAACAAAATCTAGCAGCAAATCAAAAAACTTATCCACTACAATCAAGTCGGCCGCATCCCTGGGATGCAAGCCTGGTTCAACATACACAAATCAACAAACAAAATCCATCACATAAACAGAACCAAAAACAAAAAGCACATGATTATTTTAACAGATGCAAAGAAGGCGTTCATGTTAAAAACTCTCAGCAAACTAGGTATTGATGAAACATATCTCAAAATAATAAGAACTTTCATGACAAACCCCCAGTCAATATCATACTGAATGGGAAAAAGCTGGAAGCATTTCTTTTGAAAACCGGTACAAGACAAGGATGTCCTCTCTCACCACTCCTATTCAACATAGTATTGGAAGTTGCAGCCAGGGAAATCAGACAAGAGAAAAAAATAAGGGGTATTCAATAGGAATAGAGGAAGTCAAATTGCCTCTGTTTGCAGATGACATGATTTTATATTTAGAAAACCCCATCATCTCTTTAACCCCAATATCTCCTTAAGCTGATAAGCAACTTCAGCAGTCTCAGGATACAAAATCAATGTGCAAAAATCACAAGCATTTCTTTACGCCAAAAATAGTCAAGCAGAAGGCCAAATCACGAATAAACTCCCATTCACAATCTCTGCAAAGAGAATAAAATACCTAGAAATATAGCTAACAAGGGATGTGAAAGACCTCTTCAAGGAGAACTACAAACTACTGCCCAAGGAAACAAGAGAGGACATAAACAAATGGAAAAACATTTCATCCTCATGGATAAGAAGAATCAATATCGTAAAAATTGCCACACTGCCCAAAGTAATTTATAGATTTAATGTTATTCCCATCAAACAACCATTGACATTCTTCACAGAAATAGAAAAAACTACTTTAAATTTCATACGGAATCGAAGAAGACACTGTATAGCCAAGACAATCCTAAGCAAAAAGAACAAAGCTGGAGGCATCACATTAGCTGACTTTAAGCTACACTACAAGGCCACAGTAACTAAAACAGCATTATACCTATATCAAAACAGACATATAGACCAATGGAACAGATCAAAGACCTCAGAAATAACATCACACATCTAAACCATCTGATCTTTGGCAAACCTGACAAAAACAAGCAATGGGGAAAAGATCTCCTATTCAATAAATGGTGCTTGGAAAACTGGCTAGCCATATGCAGAAAACTGAAACACAGACCTCTTCCTTACACCTTATACAAAAATCAACTCAAGAAGGAATAAATACTTAAATGTAAAACCCGAAACCATAAAAACCCTAGAATAAAACTTAGGCAATACCACTCAGGCATAGGCATGGGCAAAGACTTCATGACGAAAATGCCAAAAGCAATTGTAAAAGAAGCCAAAATTACAAATGGGATCTAACTAAACTAAAGAGCTTCTGCACAGCAAAAGAAACTATCATCAGAGTGAACAGGCAACCTACAGAATGGGAGAAAATTTGTGCAATCTACCCATCTGATAAAGGTCTAATAGCCAGAATTGATAAGAAACGTAAACATATTTACAATAAAAAAAAAACCCCATCAAAAAGTGGGCAAAGGGTATGAACAGACACTTCTCAAAAGAAGACATAAATGCAGCCAACAAACATATGAAAAAAGCTCAACATCACTGAACATCAAAGAAATGCAAATGAAAACCACATTGAGATACCATCTCACGCCAGACAGAATGACGATTATTAAAAAGTCAGGAAACCATAGATGCTGGTGAGGCTATGGAGAAATAGGAATGTGTTTACACTGTAGGTGGAAATGTAAATTAGTTCAATGATTGTGGAACACAATATGGCAATTCCTCAAGGATTGCAAACCAGAAACACCATTTGACCCAGCAATCCCATTAGTGGGTATATATCCAAAGGAATATAAATCATTTTACTATAAAGACACACGCACACATATGTTTATTGCAGCACTACTTACAATAGCAAAGTCATGGAACCAACCCAAATGCCCATGAATGATAGACCGGTTAAAGAAAATGTGGTACATATACACTGTGGAATACTACACAGCCATACAAATGAGATCATGTCCTCTGCAGGGACATGGATGAAGATGGAAGCCATCATCTTCAGCAAATTAACACAGGAACAAAAAACCAAACACTGCATGTTCTCATTCATAAGTGGGAGTTGAACAATGAGAATACATGGATACAGGGAGAAGAACAACACACACCAGGGCCTGTTGGGGGGTGGGTGGTGAGGGGAGAAAACTTAGACGATGGGTCAATAGATGCAGCAAACCACCATGGTGCACATATTCCTACGTAACAAACCTGCACGTTCTGCACATGTATCCCAGAACTTAAAGTTAAAAAAAAAAGACTCTCTGATGCATACTTTAGTTCTCCAATTGCATTTTTTAGTTCCAGAGTTTCTGCTTGATTTTTTTAAATTATTTTAGCCATTTTGTTATATTTTTCAGATAGAATTCTGAATTTCTTCTAGGTGTTATCTTGAATTTTCTTGAGTTTCTTCAAAACAATTTTTTTTAATTCTTTGTCTAAAAAGTCACATATTACTGTTTCACCCAGATTCTTCCTTGATACCTTATTTTACTTCCTTTGGTAAAGTCATTTTTTCCCTGGATTGTCTTGACACTTGTACGTGTTCATTTGTGTCTAGGCATTGAAGAATTAGATATTTATTGCAGTCTTTACTGTTTGTGCTCATTTGTACTCATTCATTTATACACTTGGGAAGGCTTTCCACATATTCAAAAAGACTTGGGTGTTGTGATCTCAGCTATATCTACTTTACAGGGCACCCGAAGCCAGGTAATGCTGTGGTTTTTGCAGACTCATAGAGGTACCACCTTAATAATTTTAAAGAATATGCAGGAGAATTATCTGGATTACAAGCCAGAGACTCTTGTTCTCTTTCCTTACTTTCTCCCTCACAAAATGGTGTCTCTCTCTCTTTTCTGAGTCACCTGGAGCTGGGGTTGGAGTGACATAAGCACCCTTGTGGCCACCATAACTAGCTGGGTCAGGCCTGAAGTCAGCACAGCACTGAATCTCTCTCAAGGCCTGTTGTAATTACTCTCTAGCTACTGCCTACGTTGCTCAAGGGCCTAGGGCTCTTCAATAAGCATGTGGCAAAGTGGGCCAGGCCTGTGTTCTCTCTTTCAGGGTAGTGAGTTTTCCCAGGTACCAGGTGAATACAGAGGTACCATTCAGGAGTCAGGGACTAGAGTCAAAAACTTATAGCCATCTACCTGTGTTCTATGTATAGCAGCTAAGCTGGCACTCAAACCACAAGATACAGTTCTTCCCATGCTTTTCTTTCCTCCCCTTTCCAAAGGCAGAGGGACCTAACTCCATAGCCACCACCACCAAGGGCCACAGCGAGTTCTGCCAGACTACTGCCAATGTTCCCTTTATGCCTAAAAGCTCTTGAGTCAGCTTGTGTTGAATGCTGCTTTGCTGGGACTCATCCTTCAGGGAAGAAGGTTTCCCTCTGGCCCAGAAATGTCCAAGAGCCAAGTTCTAAAACTGGGAACCCCAAACACCTGCTTAGTGCTCTACCCTCTGTGGTTGAGCTGGTACCTAAGTTGCAAAGAAGAAGTTCCCTTTATTTTTTTTCTCTTCTTTTCTCAAGCAGAAAGAGTCTCACCCCATAACCACCATCAACTGGAAATATGCTGAGTTTCACCTGAAGCCAGAAAATCTCAGAGCCTCAGCCAAGGCCCTGGATGTAATACCTGAGTATCACTGCTGGTTATTCTTGGCCCAAGGGTTCTTCAGTTAGCAGGTGACAAATTATGCCAGGACTGGGTCTTTCCCTTCAAGGCAACAGGTTTCTTTCTGGACCAGGTTGTGTCCAGAAATGTCTTCTAGGAGCTAAGGACTGGAAAGTAGGCTCACAACTCATACTGGTGCTCTATACTGCTGTGGCTGAGTTGGTATCCAAGATGCAAAACAAATTCTTCTCTATTCTGCCCTCTCCTCTCCTCAAGCAGAAAGAAAGAATGTCTTTTAAAGTTGTGAGCTATGAAGCCTAGGGTTAGGGAAGGTTTGATGCTAGCACTCTTTTAGTCAGCCTATCTAACGTCTCTGTAGGTCACATGCCCCCTCAGTCTACTGTTTCTGGGACCAGTTCAGCACTAGCACTCACCTAAAAGTTGACGTCCTTAAGACCTAGATTGTGTTTCAAGTTTATTAGGGCCCCACAGCACTTTAACCCACAGTGGCAAGGCTTTTGATAACTCAAGTTTCCACTGCTGGGATTATCATAGAGAGGGCTAGGGCTAGTTTAAATGTTCCTTCCGTGGGCTGGTTTCAACTGAGTTTGATCTAGTTGTCTTTTCCCCTATAACAGGACAACACTGAGTTCAATGCCTCTCGATTGCTTTGTTCTCCATCTGTCAACACACAGAAATGCTGTCCACAACACAACAATGCTGTCGAGGCATGGGGCAGGAGAGATGTTGGTGATTTGAGACTGTTCCTAATACCTCCTTTGTGCCGCTTTTAGAGATATGAACTTAAAACTGGATACTGTGAGTGCTCACCTGAGTTTTAGTTCTTATAAAGGTGCTTTTATTGTGTAGATAATTGTTAAATTGGTGTCCTTGTTTGGGGAGATGATTGATAGAGCCTTCTGTTCTGTCATCTTGCCTCACCTCCAGTAATTACTTTAAATATGCATAAATAAATTGAATTCCTCAATTATAAGGCATAGATTGACAAAGTAGTTTTAATAAATAGGATTTAGTGATATGCCACAGTACACAAAAATGGCTCACACTGAGTCCCACAAACTCTTGAGTCCTAAGCAGCTGCAGTAGAATGTATATTGAGAGCCCAGCCTCCACCAAAATACTTTCTGGCCTGAGGCTTAAAAGCCTCTGCATCTCCACATCCCTGACATTCACCGTCCACAACCACTACCACCAGGGCAGAGGCAGGAGCCACTGGCAGAGACCCTGCCTCCCGAAGCAGAGGAAAGGATATGCATTTTTATGCCTCCCAAGAGAAATGCTACTGCTTGCAACTACCTCCATTGTTAGCTGATGGTGGACTGAGGCACAGGTAAAGCATGCACTCTCCAGCCTCTTGCCTATATCTTCTACCTTTGAAAGCAACCCTGCTTTCCTCAGTAGCAAGGTCATAGCATGCCTGCTGCTACTCTAGCATTAACATTCTTCTGGGGCCTGTGGATTACCTTGCATATGCCTACCACAGCCAGTATATGCAAGCACCACTATAGAGTCTAAGGGTAGAGTCACCTAACCTGAAAACACCCACCTCCCAGTGCCCAAGCACAAGCTCCAGGTGCCTGAAAATCACCCAAACTATTCCACCACTGTGGATACCTTGGCACTTCTTCTAATGTCTCTGGTTTGTGCTACTAAACTTGCCATTACTCCACTACCAACATAACTGGCAACCACTAGCATGCACCACTTACTTGCAGGCCCAAGAACTGGGCAACCACTGACCTTCCCAGCACCAAAGCTAGCCATCTAGAGGCTCAAGAATCAGCATGCCAGAGCCCATTAACACTGGTGCCAGCATATGCTACTCTGAAGCTCAAGGACTGTTGCACTCAGCCCACTGTTACCACCATTGGAGACAGAAGACTGGCCCAACAGGCATTCAAATCCCCAGAAAAATTTTACCACAGCCTCCACTACCAATCACAACTTAAGCCAATGAGGAAAACACGGAAACCACTGATAATGTCTACTACACACAAAAAAAATTATACCAATACTACGTTACTGCATGCACCAGAATAAAAGCCAAAGTGTCTTACCAAACCAACGTCATAGATACATTTTCAAAAAAACAGTCCTCCCCTATAAAAGCAAATTAAAGAATTTGGAATAAGTGACTGTTACACCAGGTGTGTAGATATCAAAGTAAATAAACAAGAAACATTTAAAAACAAAGAAATATGACACCTTCAAAGGCACACAAAAGTTCTTCATCAACAGATCCCAATGAAACAGAATTTGTAAAATCTGAAAAAAATACAAAATAATGATACTATTCATGTCCTTTGCCCAGTTTTTGATGGGGTTGTTTGTTTTTTTCTTGTAAATTTGTTTGAGTTCATTGTAGATTCTGGATATTAGCCCTTTGTCAGAGGAGTAACAGATACTTCTCAAAAGAAGACATTTATGCAGCCAAAAAACACAGGAAAAAATGCTCACCATCACTGGCCATCAGAGAAATGCAAATCAAAACCACAATGAGATACCATCTCACACCAGTTAGAATGGCAATCATTAAAAAGTCAGGAAACAACAGGTGCTGGAGAGGATGTGGAGAAATAGGAACACTTTTACACTGTTGGTGGGACTGTAAACTAGTTCAACCATTGTGGAATTCAGTGTGGCGATTCCTCAGGGATCTAGAACTAGAAATACCATTTGACCCAGCCATCCCATTACTAGGCATATACCCAAAGGACTATAAATCATGCTGCTATAAAGACACATGCACACGTATGTTTACTGCGGCACTATTCACAATAGCAAAGACTTGGAACCAACCCAAATGTCCAACAAGGATAGACTGGATTAAGAAAATGTGGCACATATACACCATGGAATACCATGCAGCCATAAAAAATGATGAGTTCATGTCCTTTGTAGGGACATGGATGAAATTGAAAATCATCATTCTCAGTAAACTATCGCAAGGACAAAAAACCAAACACCGCATGTTCTCACTCATAGGTGGGAATTGAACAATGAGAACACATGGACACAGGAAGGGGAACATCACACTCTGGGGACTGTTGTGGGGTTGGGGGAGGGGGGAGGGAGAGCATTAGGAGATATACCTAATGCTAAATGACGAGTTAATGGGTGCAGCACACCAGCATGGCATATGTATACATATGTAACTAACCTGCACATTGTGCACATGTACCCTAAATCTTAAAGTATAATAATAATAAAATAATAATGATACTAAAAAAGCTCAGTGAGATATAAGAGAATACAGAAAAACATACAAGGAAATCCATAAAACAATTCAGGGAATGAATAAGAAAATTACTAAAGAGACAGATGTCTTTAAAAAACAAATAGAAATTCTGAAACTAAAGAATTTATTGAACAAAATTCAAAATGCAATCAAAAGGTTTATCAATGCACTAGATTAAGCAGAATAAAAAAAAAATCCCACAATGTAAAGAAAGGTCTTTTGAAACAATCCAGTCAGGCAACAATAATACTAATAATAAGAAGAATAACAAAGAATGAGCAAAGCCTATGTTACATATGGAATACCATAAAAAATCAAAATTGGAATTTTCAGAGTTCTAGAAGACAAACAGAATACCCATGTAACAAAATAGAAACTGAATATTTCTCAAGTCTTGCAAGAAATTAAGACATCCAGATACAGGGGACTAAGACATTCCCAAGCAGATACAATGAAAAAAACAAAAACAAAAATTTATTCCATGACATATTATAGTCAACCTGTCAAAAGTCTAAGACACAGAGATAATTCTAAAAACAGCATATAGTCACCTATAAGACAACCTCCATCAAAATAAAAGCAGACTTCTCAGAAGAAAATGTACAGGCCAGGAAAGAAAAGGATGATATATTTAAAGTGACAAAAGAAAGAGAAAAACTTCCCAGATGAAGATATCATATGCAGCCAAATTATCATTTACAAACACAGGAGAAACAAAGTTTTTCCCAGGCAAGAAAAAGGTAAAGAAATTAGTCTCCACTACACTGGGACTGCAAGAAATGATTAAGGTTGTCCTATACCAGAAAGCAAATAATTTTTGAAAAATGATAATGACCATCATGAAAACAAAAAATTATAGAAGACACTGGTAGAGCAAACACACAAACAAGAAATAGAAAAAAACCTCACATGTCACCATTACAGAATATCACCAAAGTACATGATGAACAGTAAAAAGGCATAGAAAAGAATAAAAGACACACAAAACAACGAGAAATTAATTAATGAAATCACAGAAATTAGCATTCACGTATCAATCAGTAATATCCTTGAATATAAACAGATTAAACTTTCTACTACAGAAGGTATATTAGCTATATAGATTACAAAAAAACCCAAGACCCAACAATATGCAGCCTTCAAGAAACTTATTTGACTTGTATAAACAAATACAAACTGAAGCAAAGAGAAGGAGAAATATATTACACGCAAATGAAAGCCGAAGGTGAGCAGAAGTAACACACTGTTAGAAGAAAACTAAAAATAAATGAAGGAGGTCATTATATAATGATATAGGGATGAATTCAGCAACAGCAACAGGATATAACAATTCTAAACTTACATTCACCCAGTACTGGAGTACATAGTCATATAAATTAAATATTATTATCTCTAAAAAGAGGCATAGATTCCAATACAGTAATAGTTGAGTTCTTCAAAACCCCATGCTCAGCATTATACAAATTATTTAGACAGAAAATTAAAAAAGAAACTTTGGACTTAAACTGCACCTTAGACCCAGTGGACATAAGCAACATTTAGAAAACATTTCATTCAACAGCTATGTAATACACAGTCTCTGTGTCTGCACATGGGACATTAACCATGATAAACCATATTTTTATCATACAACACAAAACATGTTTCAATACAATGAAAAAATGAAATTATATTAAATAGTTTCTCATAACACAATGGAATAAAATTAGAAATAAAAAACAAAAGAAATTTGCAAAACTGTACAAATATATGGAAAGTAGGTTATTTTAAAAAATAAACAAAATTAAGAAACTGCTTCCTAAACTTGCCAAGAAAATGGAACAGAAGACCCAAATAAACAAAATTAAAAGTTAAAAGACAGAATTGCAACTGATAGCTGAGAAATACAAAAGATCATCAGAGACTATTATGAACAGCAACACACCAAAAAATTAGAAAGCCTTGAGGAAATGGGTACATTTCTGGACACATATAACCTGTCAAGACTTAATCAGGAAGAAATAGACAATCTGAGCAGACCAGTAATAAGTAATAGGATTGATTTGGTAATAAATCTACCAGCAAACCAAAGTTCAGGACAGAATGACTTTACTGTCAAATTTTAACAAAATTTCAAAGAACTACCACCAGTTCTCCTCAAACTATTTCAAAATATTGAAGGAGCAAAAGTTTTCCATAATTATTCTACAAGGATAGTATTACCCTGATACCAAAATTAGACAAGGACAAAAGAGAAAGAAAAAATTGTAGGCCAGTATCCCTGACAAACATACGTGCAAAAATTCTTAGCAAAATACTAGCAATTTTAACAACTACACAACAAAAAATAATGCACCACGATCAAGCGACATTTATCCCTGTGATGCAAGATTGGTTCAACATATGAAAATCAACAGATGTGATACATGACATCCACAGAATGAAGGAAAAATCATATGGTAACTTTAATGAAAGCAGAAAAAATTGTTGAAAGTTAATATCCTTTCATGATAAACACACTCAACAAACTAGAAATGAATGGAAGGTTCTCAACCTAACAAAACATATATATTAAATACCCACAGCTAACATCATACTAAATAATAAAATTCTGGCATCTGTTTCCCTCAGATGAGGAATAAGAGAAGGATACTTACTTTCACTAACTTTATTTAACATAGTGTTCAAAATTTTAGCCAGGGTAATTAGGCAAAAAAGTTATGGTGGTTTCAAAAAATATCAATATATAATTATCATATAATTCCAAAATTCTAAGTATATAACCAAAAGAATTAAAAGCAAGGCTTTCAATAAACATGTATATAGCAATGTTTATATCAGCATTATTTACATTAGTCAAAAGTTAGAGACAACCTAAACGTTAATAAATGGATAAATAGATAAACAGTATGTAGTATACACACACCATGGAATATTATTCAGCCTTAAAATGAAATAGAATTCTGATACATGCTACTACATGGATAAGCATTAAAATCATTATGTTAAATGAAAAACAAAAACTAGATACAAAGGGGTAACTATTGTATTATTCCACTTACATGATGTACTGAGAATAGGCAAATTCATAGAGTCATAAAATAGAATAGAGGGTTCTACAAACTAAGGGGAGAAGAAAATTGGAAGTTATTGTGAAATAGGTACAGAGTTTATATTATGGATGAAGAAAACATTCTGAAGGTGTATAAGGCTCATGACTGTTCAGTAACATAAATATGCTTTATTTTTGTTTATTTATTTTTTTGACAGAGTCTTGCTTTCTCACTCAGGCTGGAGTGCAGTGGCATGATCTCGGCTCACTGCAACCTCTGCCTCCCAGGTTAAAGCGATTATCCTGCCTCAGCCTCCTGAGTAGCTGGGACTACAGATGCCCACCATGCCTAGCTAATTTTTGTATTTTTATTAGAGGCAGCGTTCACCATGTTGGTCAGGCTGATCTCAAACTCTTGACCTCAAATGGTACACCCAGGTTGGCCTCCCAAAGTGCTGCGACTTCAGGCATGAGCCACTGTGCCCAGAAACATAAATATTCTTAATGCTGCTTTAAATGAACACTTCAAAATGGTTGATATGGTAAATGTTATGTATATTTTATTGTAATAAAAAAGCCATAATAATAAAACATTTCAGGAGCTTGGACAATTTCATTTTAATTTTGGTAAGCTACAGCCCTTGCCTTCTAGGAGTCTGCAGTAGATTTGAGAAGAAAAGCTATTTTTTTTTTTTTTTGGATGGAGCCTCATTGTTGCCTAGGCTGGAATGCAGTGTTGCAATTTCAACTCACTGCAAACACTGCCTCCTGAGTTCAAATGATTCTCGGGCCTCAGCCTCCTTACTAGCTGGGACTACAGGCACGCACCATAAACCCAGCTAATTGTTTTATTTTTAGTAGAGATGGGGTTTCACAATGTTGGACAGGCTGGTGTTGAATTCCTGACAGGTGATCCACCTGCCTTGGCCTCCCGAAGTGCTGAGATTACAGGCGTGAGCCACTGTGTCTGCTGAGAAAAAACATTTATAAAGTTCGTTATACTGAAAACGTATACTGAGAAGTGCCAGAAGTAATGGTTACAAATATAAAGCTGTGTAAATTCAAACGAAGAAGAGATCACTGCTTGTTAAAGAGATCATGGAATACTTTGTATAGAAAGCACACTTTATTTAGACTTTGAAAGACAGGTAGCATTAAAACACTTGTAAATTAAGGAGGTGAAGAGAATGAGGTATATAAAAAATATTTTAGAAAGATGGTTGCCAGAGGTTAGGAGGAAGGGGAGGGATGAGGAAATGGAATATGTTTATCAAACTGTAAAAATTCTCAGTTAGACTAAAAGTACAAACTTTAGTTATTTATTGCACTGCATTATGACCACAGTGAACGTGTCATATATTTCAAAATTGCTGAAAAACAGACAATTTTTAACTAAATAATTTTCTAAAAGTCTAGAAAAGAATGCTGAGGGAAGGTGGCAGAGAGGAGACAGGGCTAATGTGCAGGTAACAAACAAAAAACAGTGTGTGGAAACTCACACCAGGAACTTTTACTCTAAGAACCACTGTGGAAACATACCAGAAAAACTGAAAGAATTCACAGATCTTTTGAAAGAAGTGGCAAGCTGCTGCAAATTCTGAGACGGGTGAAAAACCGTGAGTTCCCCAAGTGTGAGAAGGGGAAAAGCTGCACTTGAACACACGTCCTCACTGGGGAATCTAAAAATCCAGATCACAAGAGAAGGATTTAACCTTACCTAGAGGTAGAATGAATTTAGAGAACTGCATAAAATATAAAAGTAGAAGCTGCAGCAGAAAGAGCCTTATTGGCACTCTCATTCTCCAGCTCAAGCCTAGGGAAGCCATCCCTGACTCTCTCATTGGGGCCTTTGGTGAGCACACTCAGTGGAATTAGGGAGGTGTAACAGTGTGTAAGAAGCTTCCAAATAAATTTTGTAATAATTTCCACTGGGCACAAACATTTTTTAGAAGATTCTGTGGATAAATGGAAACTGATGTAGATACTAGCACAGGAGCTGCCACTGATATTGTGGACAGACAGGGAGAGGCAAGGCCTGGAAGCCAAGCTTCCTTGCTCAGCAGAGAAGTTTGTGGCCTGAGGCAGGTTTGAGTTCCACATACAAGCTGCCTGAATCTAAACTTGGCGCTGTTAGTGGGGCACTGTGGGAGTGAGACTGGTCTCACCAATTACATGGATACAGGGTGAGGCCTTTCACTACCAGCTATCCCCCATTTCCCTGACTAATTATATGCCACAGCAGAAGCAGACATAATCCCAATCCCCTCTGGAACAGAATCCCTTTGGTGTAATAAGCATGTCCCCATCCCCCACAGTGGCCACTGCAAGCCCCATTCAAAGAGAGTCTGAACCCAGACCCACCTAACCCTACCCCAGCCTGATAGTATTTCTCTACCTGACCTAGTAGCCACACACAAAAGATATACACTCTTGGGAGCTTTATGGCCCCACCCATCACCTGAGAAACCAGAATTACTACTCTGGCCAACTTAAGAAAAGCTTATATTCCACTGCTACTACTGCAACTGGTGTTCTCTGGAAAGTGCCACCTCTTGGCTAAAGGCAACTCAGGCCATTATAACAACTCATGACAGAATAACTCTGCTCCTGGGAAGGAAAAAGCAACATCTAATACCACTGCCCGCAACATCTTGGCTAACCAGAGGTCCTGAGTCTGTAAACGTGACAACTTCACTGCTAGGATAACCAGCATTCAGAAAAGCTAGCACACTAAATATATTTACAACCAAGGATTCTCACAGTCTAATTCACTCTCCTGCCACATCCACAAGAGCAGTTCTAGCTGGGAGACCTGAAGATGGATCACATCACAAGACTTTACAGACAGTCCCCAGCACCAGCAGGGAGCCAGGTAGCCCTGCTTGGTGGCTAGACCCAGAAAGGCAATAATAATCACTTCAGTCTGGCTCTCAGGAAGCTCCACCCCTAGGGGAAGGGGAGAGCACCACATCAAGGGATTACCTCGTGGGACAAAATAATCTGAACAGCAGGACTTGAGTTCCATATCTTTCCACTAGAGGGTAGTTTATCAGAGCAGAGACACAACTGCAGTGCTGGGCACAGTAGGGAAAGTCTGCACCTATACTGCAACAGTCAAGCAGCCTCTGTGATTGTGAAAGGCTTTGGAGAAGGGGTCCTTTATCCCCTGTGGCGTTCCACTGCCGGCACAACTGGGGCTTCCCCAACAAGATTGCAGCATGGAGGCACTTACAGACAGCTTTTCTGGAACAATCCATGGTGAGTGCAGCCCCACAGGAGGAACACACTTCAGATTCAGGCCACATGAAAGGCAGAGTGATGATTCCTCCCTGCTTGGAACATCAACATTTTTATACAAGAAAAGAGGTTCCTGTCTTATCTGAATAGCTGAAACACTAGAACAGGAGTGAGGCTGTGAGGTGAATAGCTTTCCTGCTGACCTAGCAGGGGAGCTGAGGTAGTTCACACTCTCCATCCTGATAAAACTTCAGCACATTTAACTAAGAGCTCCCTCAGCCACCATCATCAAGGCGGGGACCTCAGCCCATCATTGGGTATTACATCTACCCACCTTCCTTAGGCACAACTGGTGCCCCACAGGGATTCTCTCTGATTGACCTAAAACCTGAATCAACTCAGTAAGTAAAACACTGGGGAAAAGTTAAATAAATAAATACACTGTATACTACAAGAGAATGAGATAAGCTTCAAGAGATCTCTGTCATCTCAACTTCATAAAAGAGAGTAAACTCACCCATACAGCAAGAATATGACAACTATAACCAGCACCAGGGAAAACCAGTGCACAAAGACTCTCTATGACTAAGAATCTCATACAGAGTCTTCACCCTTACAAGCACCAAGAATAAAATTAGGCAAAATTCAACATTAAAATCTGATTTATAAGAGGGAAAAAAGAAAAAAAACAAAAAAACACAATTCAACAATCTCAAGAAATAGTCTACCAAAATAAGAAGGAAAAAGAAAAGTAATTCTGGTAACATGACAAAAGAGGGTTTTATAACACTCCCCAAAGTTTACACAAGCTCCTCAGCAATAGACCCAAACAACCAAGAAGAAATTTCTGAATTGTCAGATAAAGAATTCAGAAAGTTAACTATTAAGCTACTAAGGAGATACCAGAGAAAGGTGAAAACCAACTTAAAAAAATTTAAAAAATACAGTTTATGAATGAAAAATTCTTCAGAGAAATAGATATTATAAAGAAAAAAAAATCACGATTTCTGGAAATAAAAGACACATTTAGAGAAATACAAAATTCGCTGGATGATTTCAACAATAGACTAGAACAAACAGATAAAAGAACTTCAGAACTTAGAGACAAGAATTTCAAATTAACTCAATCGAAAAAAGACTAAATAAATAAGTAAATAAATAAATAACATCTTCAAAAAATGTGGGATTAGTTTAAATGACCAAACCTAAAAATAATTGGTGCTCCTGAGAAAAAAAGTCAAATCTAGAAGTTTAGAAAACTTACTTGAGGAAACAATTGAAGGAAACTTTCCCTCACTTTGCTAGCTATCTAGACATTCAAATACAAGAAGCTCAAAGAACTCCTGAAAAATGCATCACGCAAAGATCATCACGTAGGCACATAGTCATCAGGTTATTTAAAGTCAAGATGAAGAAAGGAATCCTAAAATCTCTGAGACAAAAGAACCTAATAACCTGTAAAGAAAAACTAATCAGATTAACAGCTGATTTCTCAGAAGAAACCTTACAAACCAGAATAGATTGGAGTCTATCTTTAGCCTCCTGAAACAAAATAACTGTCAGCCAATAATTTTGTATCCATCAAAATTAAACTAGAAATACACCAAAATAGAACCTCCCTAAAATATAAATCTCACAGGGCCTATAAAACAATAACATAATATTAAAAAAACAAGGTATTTAGGCAAAAGCTAGCATGATGAATAGAACAGTACCTCACCTCTCAATACTGACATTGAAAATAAATGTCTAAATGCTGCACTTAAATAATAAAGAATGGCAGAATAGATAAGCCTTTGCCAATTAAGTATGTCCTGTCTTCAAGAGACTCACCTAACACATAAGGACGCATATAAAGTTTTTAAAAATATTTAAATAAATATTTTATTTTAGTTTAAAAATTTTAATAGTTTTGGGGGAACAGGTGGTATTTGGTTACCTGAATAAGTTCTTAAGTGGTAATTTCTGAGATTTTTGTGCACCTGTCCCAAGCAGTTGTGTAGACTTTGATCCCTCAATCCCCTCCCACTCTTCCCAGAAAGTCCCCAAATTTCATTATATCATTTTTATGTCTTTGAATCCTCATAGCTTTAGCCCCCATTTTTGAGTGAGAATGTATGATATTTGGGTTTCCATTTCTGAGTTACTTTACTTAGAATAATGGTCTTAAACTCAATACTGGTTGATGCAAATGCCATAATTTTGTTCCTTTTTTTGGCTGAGTAGTATTATGTGGTGTATATATACCACATTTTCTTTATCCTCTCATTCATTGATGAGCATTTAGGCTTGTTCCTTATTTTTGCAGTTATGTCTTTTTCATATAATATATATTTTTTTCCTTGGGGTAGATACCCAGTGGTGGGGTTCCTGAATCAAATGATAGTTCTACTTTTAGTTCTTTAAAGAATCTCTATACTGTTTTCCACAGTGGTTGTACTGGTTTACATTCCCACCAGCAGTGTAAAAGTGTTACCTTTTCAGCACATTTACACCAACATCTATTATATATTTTTTGATTTTCTAATTATGGCCATTCCTACAAGAGTAAGGTGGTATCTCATTGTGGTCATAGTTTGCATTTTCCTGAAAATTAGTGATGTTGAGCATCTTTTCACATATTTGTTGACCATTCGTGTATCTACTTTTGAGAATTATCTATTCATGTCCTCTGCCCATTTTTTGATTCAGTTATTTGGTTTTTCTTCTTGCTGATTTGTTTGAGTTATCATAGATTCTAGATATTAGTCCTATGACAGATGCATAGTTTGCAAATATTTTTCCCATTCTGTGGGGTGTCTGTGTACTCTGCTGATTATTTCTCTTGCTGTGCAGGAGTTTTTAGCTTACTTAGGTCCCATCTATTTTGTTGTTGTTGTTGTTGTTTGTTTTTGTTACATTTGCTTTTGGGTTCTTGGTCATGAACTCTTTGCCTAAGCCAGTGTCTAAAAGAGTTTTTCCAACATTATCTTTGAGAATTTTTATGATTCCAGGTCTTAGATGTAAGCCTATGATTTATCTTGAGTTGATTTTTTTATAAGGTGAGAGATGAGGGTCCAGTTTTATTCTTTTACATGTAGCTTGCTAATTATCTCAGCACGGTTTGTTGAATAGAATGTCCTTCTTCCACTTTATATTTGTGTTTCCTTTTTCAAAGATCAGTTGGCTGTAAGAATTTGGCTTTACTTCTGGGGTTCTCTATTCTCTTCCATTAGTCTACATGCCTATTTTTATACCACTACCATGCTGTTGTGGTAGCTACAGCCTTGTAGTATAGTTTGAAGTTGGGTAATGTGATGCCTCCAAGTTTGGTCTTTCTGCTTAGTTTTGCATTTGCTATGTGGGCTCTTTTTTGGTTTTATATGAATTTTAAAATTGTGTTGTTGTTGTTGTTTACTTTTGTGAACAATGGTGATGGTATTTTGATGACAATTACATTGAATCTGTTGATTTTGGCAATATGGTCATTTTCACAATATTGATTCTACCCATCTATGAGAATGAGATGTGTTTCTATTGTTTGTGTCATTGATGATTTTTTTCAGCAGTGTTTTGTAGTTTTCCTTGTAAAAATCTTTCACCTCCTTTGTTAGGTACATTTCTAAGTATTTTATTGTTTTTGCAGCTGTTCTAAGGTTATTGTTAGTATAAAGCAGTGCTACTGATTTGTGTACATCAATTTGGTATCCTGAAACTTTATAGAATTCATTTATCAGGTCTAGAAGCTTTTCAACTGACTCTTTAGTGTTTTCTAGGTATGCTATCATATCATCAGTGAAGAGTCACAGTTTGACCTTCTCTATGCCAACTAACATAACTCTTCCCTTTCTTTCTTTCTTTCTTTCTTTCTTTCTTTCTTTCTCTTTCTTTCTTTCTTTCTTTCTTTTCTTTCTTTCTTTTTCTTTCTTTCTTCTTTTTTCCTTCCTTCCTTCCCTCCTTCCTTCCTTTCTTCTTTCCTTCCTTTCTTTTTTTTGTCTGATCGCTCTGGCTAGGACATCAAGTACTATGTTGAATAGAAAATGGGCATCCTTGTCTTGTTGCAGTTCTTAGGGGGAATGTTTTAAACTTTTCCGCATTCATTATAATGTTGGCTGTGGGTTTGTCATAGATGGCTTTTATTGCCTTGAAGTATATCCCTTCTAAGCCAATTTTGCTGAGGGTTTTAATCATAAAGAGATGCTGGATTTTTTCAAATGCTTTTTCTGCATCTATTGAGATAATCATATAATTTTTGTTTTTAATTCTTGTTTTATGTTATGTTTCACACTTATTGACTTGCATATGTTAAACTATACCTGCAGCCCTGGTATAAAACCCACCTAATCATGGTGTATTGTCTTTTTGATATACTACTGGATTTGGTTAACTAGTATTTTGTTGAGGATTTTCATATCCATGTTTACCAGGGATAGTGGTCTGACATGCTGAATTGAAGAAGAAACCTCAAGTTCTCTCTGAACACCCCATCCCATCATCTCTCAACCCTCTGTCTCTCCCAAAGCACAGTATCAAGTTAATCTCTGAAGTTCTCTTATCTGCCTAAAGTCCAGACCTGTCAAAGAATAAAACCATTACCTCTGGTCTTTCTGTTGAGTTTCATTCACAGAACTCAAATCATGAGAGGAAAGACTGAAGCCTGTCAACACTCCTGGACAGACTTTTGTCACAAACCATTGTCCTGTGGGTCCAGCAGAATTTGTCTTGGGCCATTGTATGATCTTATATCCCATTGAATTACCCTAAGAATTACTTACTACCCCTCTAAAATTATCCTAAATTTCCTACTTTCCTTTCCCCTAAGAAGAAATGCATATAACCATCTGTAATCCATTATGTGGTGGGGTAATCATGTTGTGATTTTCTACCTATTCTCATTAATAAATTTGTATGTTTCTTCTCTTATTATTCTGTTTTTTATCAGTTGATTTTCAGTGAGCCTTTATACAATGAAGGGGAATTTTTTTCTTAACTCCTACAATATTATCTACCTATAATGGCTAATACGGTAGCAACTTGACATATGTGGCTATTAAATACTTGAGATGTGGCTAGTACAATTGAGGGATTAAATTGTATTTAATATTAATTTAAGTTTAATAGTCATATGTAGCTAGTGGCTATCAAATTGGGCAGTACATATCTAGAAACTATATCCTTAACCGCTAAGCTATACTCTTTTTATGGATAATTTTTTATGGGTCAAGTATTCAGCAAAATAGACAACATGCATTATCTTTTTTGTTTCTTATGACAATACTGTCAAAGTAAGTACCATGATTATCACAATTTTATTTTTCAGAAATAAATAAGGCTCAAAGAGGTTAACTAATCCAAGGTCACACAGAAAATAAGTGGAGAAGCCAGAATGAGAAACTTGATTACTCAAAAACATTTCCTCTTTGCCATACTACACTAATATAATAAGGCAATGTATAGTCCCTCTCCTGAAGGAGCTTACGCAGCAACCAATTAAACAAAAACACATTATATTTGTGGAAATATTAAATCATAATGCAAATCAGCATGCAACCAAAAACTGAATTACATGACACAAACTAACTACTCTTGCAAAATAGTGCATAAATTGGGCTAGACTAAGTGAAGATTTGCTTGCTAAAGGATATGGCACTTGACCTCAATAGAATTTGGATAAAGAGTAGAGGAGACAGTATTCTAGGCCTGAGATAAATCATGAGCAAACACAAAGAAGCAAACGTTTCCCTCCTCAGATTATTTTAGTAGATGTAAAACCTAACCTAACCTGGATTAAGTGAAATATTTATATTTAGGAAAATTAGGTGATAAGTTGGACAGATTAGATGGAATATAATTCTGAAGGATGCTGAAAGTAATATTGAAAAGCACAAATTTTATCTACAAGGAACTTGAAATTAAGAGTGAAAGTGTTTGTTGTGAGTAACAGCTGGGAAATGAAAAAGGTCCACTAAAGGCTCATATTGAATTTGTAGAATTCACAGAGACTCTGCCTAATCATCTTCTCTATAAAAATTAGTCCAGCATGACAATCAATCATTACAACCTATCCAATGAAGTTCTAAAAATAATCAAAGCTTCTCCATTTAACACAATATCTACATCACTGATGCCAAAACCAGTTTGATGATGAGGCTTACTTTATATGTTTGACACATTCTCTGTCCCAATTTGTAGTAAACACATGCCTGTTTTGCATGAGTAGATATTGAAATTTGTATAATTAAATATTGCATATCAAAAATATCTTCAGAAAATTATGACCAATGTATCCAACCCAAAAAATTTAGTTGGAACGGAAATCTAAAAATGTTTGGAAGAAAACTATAATTGCTATTAGAAGACTTAAAAAAAGTGAAGCAAAAACATAGTTGTATGATTTCAGGAGAGTTATGTAGGTGGCCAAATGATTACGACTTTAAATTATAGGTCACAGTCTAAGAAGTTAACTTTGTGCATAATCTTCAAAGTGAGAAGAGAAAGATATTTTGTCTAATCTTTTAAAAAATGACATCATAAATAAATCAAAAAGAAAATCATTTTATATTTTGAAACTCCTCAAAGTATAAATAAAAATAATTTAAAGGTAATAGCAATTCTTGATTTGGTTTAGCTCAAACCACACTTATTAGATTGGCTATGTTGGAAAATGTGGAACAGTTAAACAGCAATTTTTCTTACCTGAGTTTTGATTAAGGGATAGAAAACTGAGCTGTATGATTGTCAGCAAAGCCAGTCACAGAAGTCTGTAGGAAGTGCATGACAAATTTGAGTCATTTAGTATTATGGAAGCAAAGGATAGAGGGAAAATATAAAGCGCCCAAAGGTAAATGGATGTATACTCACAGGCTATGCGTGCCATCCATAAATAATTACATTCGAGGGTACATAGTGGTAGATTTTAAAGGCCACTATAAAAGAAAGAGAAGTGCAGAATGTAATCAATCATGCAGAAAGAGCATACCCAGTTTATAATATATAAAACTGAGGAAAACTGTAATGATAATGAAATTTAGGGAAGCACAAAAAGTGATTTTTAAAAGACACAAAGGCAAGCAATGAAAACAAAATCACAAAATGATGAGATGAGTAGTAGAAAAATTTTCAGAGCCTGAACATCCCCATCAGGGAGTACAAGAAGAAGACTGACTCACAGCTTCTATTTATTGCAGAGTAAGTTAAGACTAGGGAAATTGAATTGCTTTCTTTCTCATTATTAAGAGTAGAATAAAAGAAGAAAGAAAGATAGAAAAATGAGAAAGGGAATATCCATGATCTTGCTTTACTCAAACAGAATGATGATATTTTGGAGAATATTATGCCGACAAAGACAAATGAGCTTAGTACAAAATTTACCAAAGGTGAGACTCCTTAGAAACATCAATTCTTTGTTATTTCTACTGAGGAAATACACACTTCTACCACATTCTGTTTAGTCTTTGTCAATAGAGTCTCTTTTCCTCTATACAAATAGGACCCAAATGCTATGCTCCTCCAAGTAAAGTTTGGGCTTCAGGACTTCATAAACTTTTCATATTCATTTTAATGGAGCTTCCATAAGTAGAGCCACATTTTTTGTTTCCAGGGTATCACTATGAAATTCTCAGATTTTGTAATTTGTCCATCGATTGCCCCACTGTAATTGTTGGAAATTTCAGTAAGCTGGTACCTCGATCCACAATATTCAAAGGCAGTAGTTTTGTCAAGACACACCACCTATTGCTTATTTGCATTTTACTGCTTGCATTTTCTCCACCCGTTTGATGAATGTTATTATTTCATCCTTAAAATAAATTGTTACAAAAACTCAAATGATCATTATTTTATTTTATTTTTTGTTGAGACGGAGTCTCACTCTTTCACCCAGACTGGAGTGCAGTGGCACGATCTTGGCTCACTGCAACCTCTGATTCCCAGGTTCAAGCGATTCTCCTGCCTCAGCCTCCCGAGTAGCTGGGATTACAAGTGTCTGCCACCATACCTGGCTAATTTTTTTGTGTGTGTGTATTTTTAGTAGAGACAGGGTTTCACCAAGTTGGCAGGCTGATTTCAAACTCCTGACCTCAAGTGATCCGCTTGCCTCAGCCTCCCAAACTGTTAAGATTACAGGCTTGAGCCACCGCACCCAGCCCAAATGATCATTTTTAGGTAACAATTACTCTGCCAGACTTCTTAGGTCTGAGGTAAGTTTTACTACGTAGCTAAGTGAATATTTAACTGTGGCTCTCTGGCTATACATAACACATTGTGTGTCTTTATTTCTGGTGTTTCAGAAATGTTTTCATTTTCAGCCTAGAAAAGATCAAGCTGAATAACACCTTCATAGGAAACTCCCATGTCACTGATTTCGAGAAGAGTTCAGCAAAGTGACCTCCCACATTCTGTATTCAATTCTCCCCTACTGCACCCTCCTGCTGTCTCAAATTTTTTCAACTGCTTACATTCTATTAGGTCTTTGTTTTATTTTTAAGAAGTCTTCCTCAATTCTCTTCCTTCACCACTCTCTTATATAAATGCACCAGAGATTTTTGTAGCCATCTTGTTTCCCTTCATTCCATATGCCCTAAATTTGGCTTTACCCACTCATTCAGTAGAAATCTACTGAATCCTTTGTCAGTACCACATACTATATTTGTTGCCAGGCACAAAAAGGTGAAAAAGACAAACTACGATAATCATATGTTCCAATGAAGGTAGAACAATAAACAAGTAAGTATATTAAATATTTGAGTGCAAAATGCAATATAAGAAAACATAATGGATAATGTAATATAGAGTAATGGAAGACACTTTAAGAGGATGGCCAAGAAAGGGTTCTCTGAGGGAATGACACTTCAGTTATGACTTAGAGAAGAAAGAGCCAGCCACATCAATTCTTCTTTGAAAATGTAGATACATATGTGTTACACTCCATCATTCCAAACAAATCTAGATCCAAGAAATTATTATTTTAATATTGGACTACCTAATTTGCAGATCAGGCATAGACTGTCTACATGTAAAAATATTGACATCAAATTTAATCCTAAGACTCTTGTCTTAGCAGCATTAACACTTAATACACCTCAAGTAATTTACTTTCTAGTCCTACTCCTGACTCTTATTGGTCTGGAAATTTTCACAAGCTCTTAAATTTTCTTCATTTTAATTTTATTATTTAAAAGAAGAAGATTAACTTACATGTTTTCTTTGGATTTAATCAGTCAGAAATTTTACAATTGGAACATTTACTCATGAGCTGAGGGTAACTACTTGGAAAGAGCACCAGAGAATCAGTATAATATCATAATGAGAGGAGAAATAAAGAGGCAAGATCAAAGCTATTGCACTGTAACTATCTTATTCACCTGGGTAGCTAAAAGCAAGTCAAATTTTGGATAGTAATGCATGTTAATCCATCTAATTTAGCTAGTTTGTCAAATGTTTTGAAATAATATTGTGTTAGGTTAGTGCATGTCTTCTTTTCTTATTGTTGTAGATACATATAGCAAAATAATTATAATCTTATAATTCATAGATGTATAATTCATTGGCATTAAATATATTCACAATTTGCATAACTCTCACTAGTATCCATACTCAAAATATTTTATAATCATCAATAAAACTGTATACCCATTAAACAATACTTCCCACATTCCTTTCCCCCAGCCTTGGTAACCTCTATACTACTTTCTGCTTCTATGAATTTGCCTATTCTGTTACTCATAGAAGTGGAATCCTACTGTAGTCTTTTCTGTCTAACTTATTTTGTTTAGCACATTGTCTTAAATGTTCATAAAAGTTGTAGTATGCATCATAATTTTATTTTTCTAATGCTGAATAACATGTCATTGTATGTATATACCACATTTGGTTTATCTATTTATCTGTCTATCCATCTAATGAATCTTTGGGGTGTTTCCAACTTTTGGCTATTGTGAATAATGCTGTTATAAACATTGTTGTACAAATGTTTGTTCAAGTCCTGTCCCTGTTTCAATTATTTTGGATATATTGTAGTTATATGTATAACCTCTTGGAAAATTGTCAAATTGTTTTCCATAGTGACTTCACCATTTTTCATTGCCATCACTGAGGCTCAAATGTTCTCATTTCTTTACATTCTTACAAACTCTTATTTTCTGTTCTATTGATTATATCTACCCTGGTAGGTATTTCACCATGCTATCTCATTGCGATTTTGATTTGCACTTCCATGAAGACTAATTATATTAAGAATCTTTCCATCTACTTACTAGATATATATATATATTTTTTGAAAAATATTTATTGAAGTAATTTGCCCATTTTTAATTGGATTATTTTATTGTTGTTGTGGTTGTTTAGTTGAAGGAGTTTGTTACACATTCTGGATAGTAATCCCTTACCAAATATATAATTTGAAAATATTTTCTCTAATGCTGCAACTTACCCTTACACTCTGTTGATTGGGTCCTTTGCTACACCAAAGTTTTAATTTTAATAAAGCCTAGTTTATTTATTTTTGTATTTCAGGTATTTTTTGTGTTATATCCAAAAAAATTGCTAAATACAATGTCATAAAGTTTTCCCTTTATGTTTTCTACTAAGAGTTTTAGCTATTAAGATTATGTCTTAGATTCACTTTGAATTAATTTTTGCATATGATATACAGTAAACATCCAACTTCATTACCTTGCATGTGGATATATTTTTCCAACAACATTTGCTGAAATGACTTTTCTTTTCCTATTGAATGGTCCTGACACCTTTTTAAAAGTCAGCTGATCATATGTGTGAAGATTTATTCTTAAGATATCTATTCTTTTAATGAGTTCTTTGAGGGAATATGAAGACATCTAAAATAACCTTTATCTTCAAGGAACTTATTATTGCATTGGAGAATTAAAACATTTTTACATGTAAAAAATGAATACAAGCATAGAAAATATAAGCCGTATTGAGCTAAAGGAGGGGAGTTTGACAATGATGATACACAGATGAAAAAGGCCAACATTTAAATGAGATTTTACGAATAGACAGAAGAAAACAAGCCTGAGAAGGGGAGAGAATGTTGTTCAGGAAAAATGGAGAGTGATGACAAAAGCAAGACAATTTATAGCAGGTTTAGGAGCATTATGGGAAATAAGACACTTAACTATGCAGTCAACGAAGTGTGTCTTATTTCAATCAAGGCATGTAAAAGGTTAAAATAAATTTATACTATTGGTCCCTGTAAGTGAATTATCTGTACTGCTCCAGTTTAAAGACTGCCTCATTTTTGTTTTCTTAGATACATCTTTAACAATAATTATTTGCATTAATTACCACACAAGATGATTATATCCTTCTGGCTAGCTAATACCAAAGTTTTAAAACTTTTCCTAACAGCCACTTTAGGGAGAAAGCCATTGCTGTAGCTTTGTACTTTGGATGGTTTATCTTTGGCAGAGTTGGTTTGTTAAAGTTGTGAGGGAGGACATGTAAGTAATTTCAGGTGTTGAAATATGTAAATCATATACACGGATAAAACAAAACAAAATTTCTTAATGGCAAGTTTTTAAATATTATATTAATCAAAGGATATTTTTCTTCTCTTCAACCTGCAAATTTGAACAAAGACATTTTAAACTTTATTTTTGATGTAGGTCTTGTTCTAGAAATCACCTCATAATGATTACTGTAATATCTAATCATGAAACTTCAATAGAAAGTTAAAATAGTCATGCTTACCAACATATAAACAATGAACAGTTTTAAAAGTTTACATATTTTTGGTAAAATACATTATTAAACATTCTTTGTTAACACTCTGGTACTGTGATTTAGAGACAATTGCCTTCTGCATTAGAGTGTAAACAGAAACTTAAAACATTAACTATTTAATAAATACAATTAAATCATTTTAAGCATTTTAACAAGAAAAAATATTCAAGTGTTTAGCAGTGTCTGTTAGTTTCAGTCTTACCTAGGTCAGTGAAGCTTTAAGATTGATTTTAACCTTGTGAGAAATAATAACTTACGTTGTCTTTGCCTTAGAATACCAGTCAAGTGTCACTACCACCACTGCAAATGAACACACAGATGCCAGCAACCCCTCCACCCCTGCACTGCCACTACTGATTGTGCAAAAGCATGCATGAAGGCCAACAACCCTGCCCCCATCAGCTTACTGCCCCAGCTGCCACTGGGGCAAGCGTAAGCCTGAAGACCAGCAACCCTGCCCCCACATGCACCCCACCACAGATGTGAGCACACTTAGGAATGCTGAAGCACCACTTCTGCCAGTACCTCACCCTAGTCATTGCAAATGTACTCCCTCACGCTGGTATAGCTATTGGCATATGCAAACAAGCACTGGCCTCACTACCACCACCCTGAAAAAGTGCTTTGGCTGGCACCAGCTATTGGAGTTCTGTGACCAGCAGACAGGAAACACCTTGACTCAACTAGCAGAGCAGGTTCCTGACCTCAAGGGGCCAAAGAACAAAGCTGGCAACCCACTAACAGAGCCACAGAGTTACAGCATGCAAACCAAGAGTGCTGAGCTGGGACTTGATCCCTTAAAATCTTCCAGAGATGAAGTTAGTCAAATGATCCAAACTTAAACCACAATTAAATCACCAAGTGCATCAAAAAAGCTGAAAGAAAAAAAATTAGCAGGACAGCAACTTTAAAAACTGAAGTAACATCAGCTCACAAAGATAAGAAAGAACCAGCATAAGAACTCTGGCAACTCAAATGCCAGAATGTCTTCCTTTACCTCCAAATGATTACACTAGTCCCCAAGCAATGGTTCTTAAGCAGGCTGAAATGGCTGAAATAACAGAAATGGAATTCAAAACGTGAATAGAAATGAAGAAAATTAACATCCAGGAAAAAGTTGAAAACCAATCCAAGGAATTAAATAAATACAATCAAGAGATACAGAAGAGACAAAATGCCCATTATAAACAAGAACAAAACTGATGTGATAGAGTTGAAAAGCTCACTTGAAAAATTTTATAATACAATCACAAGTATCAGCAGCAGAATCAACAAGCTAAAGAAAGAATTTCAGAGCTCAAAAACCAATTGTCCAAAATAGCTCAGTCATAAAAAAAAATTTTTAAAGAGGAATGAACAAAACCTCTGATAAACGTGGCATTATGTAAAGAGACCAAATCTATTACTCATTTTTCATCAGAGAAGAGAAGCAGATAATGCAAGCAATGCAGAAAGCATATTTGAGAATATCTTTCACAAATTTTCACAACCTCACTAGAAAGACCAACATACAAATTGAGAAAATTCAGAGAACAAGTGTGAGATACTAGGCAAGATGAACAAACAAAAGAAGCATAGACATCAGTACCATCCCATGAAGGCAGCCACATGAGCTGTACTCTCCAGAGCCATAGGGGTGGAGCTGCCCAAGGACACGGGAACCTACCCCTTGCATCAATCTGGCCTGGATGTAAGACATGGAGTCAAATAAGGTCATTTTGGGCTTTAAGATTTAACTACTGCATTGCAAGGTTTTGGACTTACATGGGGCCCGTGGTCCCTTTGTCTTGGCCAATTTCTCCTATTTGGAATGGGAACATCTTACCCAATGCCTGTATCCCCATTATATATTGGAAGCAATTAACTTGCTTTTGATTATACAGGCTCATAGGCAGAAAGGACTTGCCTTGTCTCAGATGAGACTTTGGACTAGGACTTTTGAGTTTATGCTGAAATGAGTTAAGACTTAGGGGACTGCTGGGATGAAGTGATTGGTTTTGAAATGTGTAAAGGACATGAAATTTGGGAGGGGCCAGGGGTGGAATTATATAGTTTGGCTCTGTGTCCCCACCCAAATCTCTTCTCACATTTTAATCCCCATGTGTCAAGGGAGGGAACTGGCATGAGGTGATTGGATCATGAGGGCAGTTTCCCCCATGATGTTCTCATGATAGTGAGGGAATTCTCATGAGATCTGGTTGTTTGCTATGTGTCTGGGATTTCCCCTTCTCACTCCTTCTCTCTTTCGCCACCCTGTAAAAAAGATGCATGCTTCCCCTTTGCCTTTTACCATGACTGTAAGTTTCCTGAGGCCTCCCAAGCCATGTGGAGCTGTGAGTCAATTAAACCTCTTTTGTTTATAAATTGCCCAGTCTCAAGTAGTATCTTTAAAGCAGTGTAAAAGTGTACTAATACAGAAAGATACAGAGAAGAGGCAGGTAATCTACCAAGATAACTCCATTAGACTATCAGCGGACCTTTCAGAAGAAACCCTACAAGCTATAAAAGACTGGGGGGTATATGTAGCATTCTTCTAGAAAAGAGATTCCCACAAATAATTGTCTATCCAACCAAACTACTAAGCTTCATAAGCAAAGGATAAATAAGATCCTTTTCAGATAAGCAAATAAAAACTGGTTACCACCAGACCTTCCGTACAGAAGGTCATTAAGGGAGTGCTACATATGAAAAGGAAAGACTTACCAGCCACAGCCAAAACACAGTTAAATGCATAGGACACTGACACACTAAAGTAACCACACAATGAAGTCTGCATAATAGCCAGGTAACAACACTCTAACAAGATCAAATTTACACATCAATATTAACCTTGAATGTAAAAGGGTCTAAATACCCCAAGTAGAAGGCATAGAGTGGTAAGTTGGATAAAGATGTAAGGCTCAACTGTATGCTATCTTCAAGAGATTATCTCACATGCAATGACACCCAGAAGCTCAAAGTAAAAGGATAAAGAATAATCTACAAGAGAATAGAAAACAGAAACAGCAGGGGTTACTATTTAAATTTCAGAGAAAACAGACTAAAACTAACGATGATCATGAAAGATAAATAAAAGGCATTTCTGGTGGTATGGTGGCAGTTCTGGTGGTAACAAATGATAGAAAAGGGTTCAATTCAACAAGAAGACCTAACTATCCTGCATATATACTCACCCAACACAGGAACACCCAGAGTCATAAAATTCATTCGTAGAGACTCACAAAGACTCTTAGATATCCCCACAATAATGACAGGAGACTTCAACACCCCACTGACAGTATTAGATAGATAAGAAAGACAGAAAACTAACAAAGATATTCAGGACGTGAACTAAAAACTTCATCAAATGGGCCTAAGAGATATCTACAAAACTCTCCACCTAAAAACAACAGAATATACATTGTTATCATCTCAATATGGCACATACTCCAAAATCAGCCACACGGTCAGCTATAAAACAATCTTCAGCAAATTTAAAAAAATAAAACATACAAAAGGTCAACGAATCCAGGAGTTCATTCTTAGAAAAAAAAATATAAAATTGATAGACAACTAGCTAGAGGAATAAAGAAAACAGAAGGTCCAAATAAACACAATCAAAAATGACAAAGTGGGCGTTACCATAAGCACCCAGAATTTTAAAACAAACAAACAAACAAAAAACCCTCAGAGACTATTATGAGCATCTCTATGCACACAAAGTAGGAAACCTAGAAGAAATGATTAAATTCCTGGCAACATACAACTTTCCAAGATTGAACCAAGAAGTCATTGAATCCCTGAACAGACCAACAACATGTTCCAAAATTAAATCAGTAATAAAAAGCTTAAGAACCAGAAAAAGCTGAGGACCAGATAGATTCAGAGCCAAATTCTACCAAATGTATGAAGAAGAGCTGGAACCATTTCCACTGAAACTATTTTCAAAAATAGAAGAGAAGGGACTCCTCAACTTATTCCATGAAACACGTATCATCCTGATACCCAAACCTGGCTGATATACAACAAGAAAAGAAAATATCAGGTCAATATCCTTGATGAACACAGATGCAAAAATCCTCAATAAAATACTAGCAAACTGAATCCAGCAGTACATCAAACAGCTAATCCACTATTATGGAGTAGCCTGTATCCCTGGGATGCAATGGTGGTTCAACATACACAAATCAATAAATGTGATTTACCAATAAACACAACTAAAAACAAGAACCACATGATTCTCTCAATAAACACGGAAAAGCCTTTCCATAAAATTCAACATCCATTTATGTTGAAAACACTTAACTAGGCATTGAAGGAACATACTTCAAATTAATAAGAGCCATCTATTACAAGTCCAGAGCAAACATCATACTGAATGAGCAAAACCTGAATGTATTTCTGTTAAAAAACAGAAAAAGACAAGGATGCCCACTCTCACCACTGCTATTCAACACAGTACTGGAAGTCCTATCCAGAGAAATCAGGCAAGAGAGGAAAATAAAATATATCCAAATAGGAAGAGAGGAAGTCAAACTATCTGATTTTCGATGTTATGATTCTATGCATAGAAAAGCCCATACTCTCTGCCCAACAGCTTGTAAATCTGATAAACAACTTTAACAAAGATTCAGGATTCAACACCAATGTACAAATTTCAGTAGCATTTCCATACACCAAAAGGTCAAACACACTGCTCAAAGAAATTAGAGACAACCAAACAAATGAAAAAGCATTCTATGCTCATGGGTAGGAAAAATAAATATTGTTACAGGGTACATACTGTCAAAAGAAATCTATAGATTCCATGCTATTCCTATCAAATGACTAGTGATGTTCTTCACAGAATTAGAAAAAAGTATATCTTTAAAAATTCATATGGAATAAAAAAAGTTTGTGAAACTAAGGTAATTCTAAGCAATAAGGGCAAATCTGGAGACATGATGCTACCTGACTTCAAACTATACTCTAATGCTGCAGTAAACAAAACAGAATAGTCCTGGTACAAAAACAGACACATGGACCAATCAAAGAGGATAGAGAGTCCAGAAATAATGTCACACAGCTACAACCAACTGATCTTCAAAAAAGCTGACCAATGCAAGCAATGGAGAAAGGATTCCCTATTTGATAAATGTTGCTGGAATAATTGGCTAGCCCTATTCTGAAGATTGAAACTGGATCCCTTCCTTATACAATATACAATAATCAACTCAAGATGGATTAAAGACATAAATGTAAAAGCTAAAACTATAAATACCATGGAAGATAATCTCAGAAATACCATTCTGGGCACAGGCTCTGGCAAAGGTTTTATAATAGACAACAAAAGTAATTGTATAATAAACAAAAATGGACAAATGTGACCTAATTAAACTAATGAGCTTCTGCACAACAAAAGACACTATCAACCAAGTAAATAGACAACGTAGAGAATGGAGAAAATATTTGCAAACCAGGCATCTGAAAAAGGGCTAATATCCAGAATCTATAAGGAATTTAAACAAATTTACATGCAAAAAAACCCAACCCCATTACAAAGTAGACACAGGACATAAGCAGACACTTTTCAAAAGAAGACATACATGCAGGCAACAGCCTATAAAAAAGTTCAACATCAGTAATCATTAGAGAAATGGAAATCAAAATCACAATGTGATGCCATCTCACACCAGTCAGTATGACTATTAATAAAAAGTAAAAAAATAACAGATGCTGATGAGATCATGAAGAAAAGGGAACACTTGTACCCTACTGGTGAAAATGTAAATTAATTCAGCCATTGTGGAGATGAGTGTGGTGATTTTTCAAAGAACTGAAAATGGAATTACCATTAAACAGGGTAATCTCATTACTAGGTGTATACCCAAAGGAATATAAATCATTCCACCATAAAGACACATTCATGCATATGTTCATTGTAGCGGTATTCACAGTAGCAAAGACATGGAATCAGCCAAATGCCTGTAAACAGTATAATAGATAAAGAAAATGTGGTACATATGCATCATCGAATACTATACAGTTTTGAAAAGGAAGGAGATCATGTCCTTTGCACCAACATGGATGGAACTTGAGGCCATTATCCTAAGAAAACTAACGCAGGAACAAAGAAACAAATACTACATGTCCCCACATGTAATGGGAGACTAACATTGAGTATACATGGACACAAATTAGGAAACAACAGATTCCAGGGCCTACTTGAAGCTGGAGGATGGAAGGAGGATGAGGATAAAAACTTCCTGTCTAGTACTATGCTTATTGCCTGCATAACAAAACAATCTGTACACCCAAACCCTGTGATACACAATTTACCTGCATAACAAACCTGCACATGTTCCCCTGAACTTAAAATAAGAGTTAAAAAAGGAAATTAGTTAAGAAATGAAGAGATGGGTAAACATGTTTTCACAAAATAAACTGAAACATTAGGCACCTTTGTAAAACCAAATAACAAACAAACTGGCCATCTTCTGGAATTTCTCCTTCCTGGTTGAAGCAAAACAAAACAAAACGAAATGAAAAAACCACAATGCTTTAAAATAATTTATTTTTAATAAATGACAGTTGATATCAGAGGGACAGTGAGTCAGTTGACTATGTAAATACTCTGGATTCAAAATTTTTTTTCTGTTTGTAGTGACAATTATGGGGGTATTATTACTTTTACAAAAGGGCATCAATATGTCTTAAAGCAAATGAATTTTATGTTTCAATTATCTATTTAATGTCCAATCAAAATCCCACGGTAATTTACCTCCTGGTAAGTTTATACATTTAAAGGAAATAACAGATGTGAAATGTCCTTGATCCTCTAATGTGGGCAACAGAAAGCAAAGCTTCTGAAGACTCTGATCTCAGCCATGGAAGTCTTTTGCTCCAATTCCTGCCCAAGCATTCATTGTCTGAGTGGCATTAGGTCAGAAACAGGGCTTAATCATTATCAAAGCCAAGTGTTCTGTTCATTAATGTTTATGATGTGACGTTTTGAATATCCTCAGCCAATACTTGATTTTTTATATATACATATATTATATATTGTGAGTACCTATACTTGATTATATATATATATTATATTATATATAATATATATAATTTGTTAATATATTATTTAAAAATATATTTTTAATGGAAGTGAGTACCTATACTTGATTTTATATATATATTATATTTTATATACATTACATTATATTATATATAAATAATTATATATATTTATATATAATTATATATATTATATTATAATATATAAAATATATATATATAATCAAGTATAGGTACTCACTTCCATTAAAAATATATTTTTAAATAATATATTTATAAATATATATTATTTTTTAAATGGGAGTGAGTACCTCAGAATGAATTTGTATGACAACAAGAGGAGAGCTTAAACCTTCATTAATCAGACAAAGAGGCACCCTTTTCCTACAAAGCCTCAATTTAACTTGCAAGAAAGGAGTATTTAAGGAGCTGTGGCCTGGCAAATCTTTCTCACATTTCAGACCCAGAATAGCATCCTCTCGGCCTTGCTGTGCTGGAACCAGCAACCACAGATACTATTGGGTGTGTTAGATTTGCCATATATAGGCTGTGTCATTCATGTGTATTTTCTTTGTGTCAATTTATTTCAAATAGAGCATGGCCAGTTGCATTTTGCCAAAATAACTGATCATAGTGTTTTCTCTGTCTGTCACATGATGAGATGACACAAAAACATTATTTTCTTCTTTTTTTAGTGTTGTTTTCTACCAGAATGAATACAAAAAATCAAGACATGAAATGGGCAGTGGCTGTGTTCCACAAGGAAAGGAGCCAAGTAACTTGCATCCTTGTTTTTGTTCCAGATGTCACAACTGCAGCTGCCATCTAAGAATGCCCCTAGATCTCTGGCCAGCAGGCATAGAGACCTGAGATGTCAAGTCAGAGGCATGAGTTCAAAATTAGTTTTTCTAGATGGTTCATCTGAGACTGACTTGGAGGGCTCATTCTGAGCATAGAACCAGGAAGATACTAGGAAAGCCCAAGTAAAAGATTAAAATGGCCTTTAGCAGGCTATGGGGATAACAGCAGCAGAAACCATAGCTTCGATAGCAGCTTTTATGTATGTATGTTAGGGATGAGAAATTATTAATTCAGTCTTTATCCCTATAATTCAGAAGCTACCAGGAAACTGGTGTCAATTATGTTGCTGCACTAATAGTTTATTGGCAGAACTTGGCCTTCTCCTTATTTTATTCTTTTTCATCATTGTTCCCATGTTCTAACCACAATGAGATGGACGATTTTCTCTTCTGGAAGGATGGAATAGGGAAATGTAGGAATAGGGAAATGTAGGATTTTTATTGTTGTAAACCCCATTTGAGGACAGATCTTACCTTCCAAGGCTTCTAGTTGGGGCCAGTCTTATATAAGCAGCTACTTGCAAGGTCTGAGTGGAGAGGATTCCGAAAGACAGTAGCTTCAAAACACGGGCTCATACAATGTTAGTGATGGATGGCCCCACTAGATATTATTTATTTTGTTGATGTCCTACATATGGTTATTAAGTTTTTAGTTTACTAAAAGGGACATTGCGGAAACATAATGTGATTTCTTAAACAAAGACATAGTTATAGCCAACAGGTATATGAAAAAATGTTCAACATTACTAGTCATTAGGGAAATTCAGATCAAAACCACAATGAAGTATCATTTCACCCTAGCTACAATGTCTATAATGAAAAACTAACAAATCCTGGCAAGGATAGAACGAATGGGGGACACTTGCACACTCTTAGTGGGAATATAAAGTAGTGTAGCCATTATAAAAAAGCATATGGAGGTCTCTCAAAAATGTAAAAAATAGAACTACAATGTTACCCAGCAATTTCACCACTAGTTATATATCCGAAAGAAAGGAAATCAGTAAATTACAGAGATATCTTTACTCCTATGTTTTTTACAGCATTATTTACAATTGCCAACATATAAAATGTACCCATGTGTCCATCAACAGATTAATGAATAAAGAAAATGTGGTATATAGACACCATGGAATATTATTAAGTCATAAAACATAGTAAAAGTCTGTCATTTGCAGCAACATGGATGGAACTTGAGGTCATGAAGTGAAATAAGTGAAGCACAGAAAGACAAATCCCGCATGTTCTCACTCATAAGTGAGAGCTAAAAAAGTGTATTTCAGGAATGTAGACAGTAGAATGGTGGTTACCAGAGTCTGAAAAGGGAAGCTGGGAAGGTAGATGAAGTTCATTAAGAGCTATACAAATGCGGTTAGATAGAAGGAAGAATTTTCAGTATTTGGTAGTACAGTAGGGAAATTATATTAAATAGTTAACAGTGGCCAGGCGTGGTGGCTCATGCCTGTAATCACAGCTCTTTGGGAGGCCGAGGTGGGAGGATCACGAGGTCAAGAGATCAAGACCATCCTGGCCAACATGGTGAAACCCTATCTCTATTAAAAATACAAAAATTATCTGGGCGTGGCAGCGTGTGCCTGTAATCCCAGTTACTCGGGAAGCTGAGGAAGGAGAATCGCTTGAACCCAGGAGGCAGAGGTTGCAGCGAGTCGAGATCGTGCCACTGCACTCCAGCCTGGAGACAGAGCGAGACTCCATTTCAAAAAATAAATTAATTAAAAAATTAAAACAATAAATAAATAAATCATTAACAGTAATTATTGTATATTCCAAAGTAGCTAGAAGAAAAAATATGAAACATTCCCAAAACAAAGCAATGATAAATATTTGAGGTGATGGATATCCCAATTACCCTGATTTGATTATTACACATTGTATATAGGAATCAGTATATCACATGTACTCCAAAAATATGTACAACTATTATACGTCAATTTTAAAAAATACAACAAAGAACTATGTGTTGACATAATATTAATATCAAATAAAATTAACACCAAAAAATAGGAAAGACAAACATTCTATATAAATTTCTAAGTATAACTCTATAAAAGAGAAAAAAATATCATTCATCATCCTTATGTTTCTCATATATCTTTTATTTTTTAAATAAAATTATTAGACTTAGTTTCAGATCAACACAGGTCCATGGGAAAATATTTCCCCCATTTGTCTTTCTTTCTCTGTCTCTCTTCTTCATATGCAATATACGTTTATGTGTGCATGTGTGTGTATATATATGTGCACATACATATGTGTATGTTTACATTTGTACTTATATGTATCTATATATGCCCATGTAAAGAGAAAAAGTTTTCATAGTTTAGGTATATAAACAGAATGTTGATATGTATGATGTAATTGATCTAGCCTTCCTACTGTTGAGTCATTTATTCATGAAATCACATGGCCTGGGTGGGAAGCAATTTCTACATATTGTAAACATGAATGAAAAGCTAGACAAATAGTTGGAAGAAAGCAGGATTATATATTTTAAAAATGGAATAAGAGGTACCATAGAATACTCTTTTCTCTGTCTCTTTCTGTCATGTTGGGCTTAATTGGCCTGAAGCTGATGCACACATTTATGTTATTTATATTCTGATTTTATAACAGATCATATATTGTACAGAAATTTTGCAAAATATATAAAGGACTAAAAATAGAAAATATACTTCCTAATTCTATCAGCCTGAGGTGTCAATTTAACAATGTTGGTGTGCTTCTATTCTATCTTTATTCAAATAAATATATATGGCAAAATATTGTACATACTGTATTAGATTTTTTCCATTTTGTAAAAAATAAACAATGCCCATTTAATTAATTATAATAATTAACATTATATAATTATATAATTTAAAAATACATGCATTATAATTTATAAATTTTCTATTTTTGAAAGATAAATTGATTATAATTTTTTGCTACTATAAATACTGTTGTATTAGTCTGTTTACCTACTGCTATAAAGAAAAACCTGAAACTGGGTAATTTGTAAAGAAAAGAGGTTTAATTGGTTTATGTTTCTGCAGGCTGTACAGGAACCATGGCTGGAGAGGCCACAGAAAACTTTCAATCATGGCAGAAAGGGAAGCAAAAATATCTTACATGGCCAGAGCAGGAGGAAGAGAGAGAAGGGGGAGGTGCTATGCACTTTTAACCAGATCTTATGAGAACTCACTCACTATCAAGAGAACAGCAAGGAGGAAGTCCATCTCCATGATTCAATCACTGCCCATTAGGCCCTTTTTCCAACAGGGAGGATTACAATTTGACATGAGATTTGGTGGGGACATAAATTCAAACTATATTATTCTGCCACTGGCCCCTCCCAAATCTCATGCCCTTTTTACATTGAAAAATATAGTCCTCCCTTCTCAACAGTCCTCCAAAGTCTTAACTCATTTCAACATTAACCCAAAAGTCCACAGTCCAAAGTCTCATCTGAGACAAGGCAAGTCCCTTCCGCCTATAAGCCTGTAAATTAAAAAACAAGTTCATGACTTCCAAAATACCATGGGACTACAGGCATTAGCTAAATACTCCAATTCCAAAAAGGAAAAATCAGCTAAAACACAGTGGCTACAGGCCCCATGCAAGTCAGAAACCCAGCAGGGCAGTCATTAAATCTTGAAGCCCCAAAATAATTTCCTCTGACTCCATGTCCCAAATCCAGGGCACACTGATTCAAGGGGTGGGCTCCTAAGGACTTGGGCAGCTCTGCCCTTGTGGCTTTGCAAGTCTCAGCTCCCATGCCTGCTCTCAATGGCTGGCATTGAGTGCCTTTCGCTTTTCCAGGTACACAGTACAAGCTTTTGGTGGATCTATTATTCTGGGGTCTGGAGAATGGTGGCCCTATTCTCATAGCTCCGTTGGGCAGTGCCCCATTGAGGACTCTGTGCACGGGCTCCAATCCCACATTTCCCCTCTGCACTGCCCTAGTAGAGGTTCTCCATGAGGGCTCTGCCCTTGCAGCAGACTTCTGCCTGGACATCCAGGCATTTCCATACATCCTCTGAAATCTAGGCAGAGACTCTCAAGCCTCAACTCTTGTCCTCTCTCCACACACAGGCTTAAGATCACATGAAAGCTGCTAAGGCTTATGGCTGGCATCCTCTGGAGCAGTGGCCTGAGACATATCTAGGGACGTTTTAGTCATGATTGGAGTGGAAGCAGCTGGGATGCAGGGAGCAGTGTCCCAAGGTTGCAGGGCAGCAGAGCCATACAGAATATTTTTGTGTTTAAAAATTGTTGTTATTTGGCATTATTTTCTTTAGCTAGAATCCTTAAAGTGAATTTACTCAATTGAGAGATATAAACATTGTATAGTTTCTCAATAAATATTGCCAAGTTGCTTTAAATGGTTTCAGCTTATTTTCACATTACTGTGTTCAGAGCACAGAGAAGGCGTGAGATGAGCAGATGAGCACTTTAACATTTCTTGGGCATGTCTCCCATTTCTATAGCATACCAGACTATTTGAATCTTTATGTCTTTTGGGGTGATGAGAAATCTGACAAGAAAGAAAGTTATCCAGATGCTTCTTTATATAAAGGAGACAATGATGATGAAAAATTCTTATTGTTAAGTACTTTCCAGCATGCATGAAAGATAGTTCTCTACTTTATATGTTGGACAGTTGTATTTGCTGGTAAGATTCTGTCACATTTCAATAACAATTTTTCCCTTTCTTAACCTATGGAATTTCTTTTAATGCTGACATCAGACCTGTCTAAAAGATATTCTGATCATTTGCATACTCTGTGACTAAAAGGGAATGATAGTAATTTTAAACATACCAAAACTGTATATCTCAATTAATGGTATTCTTCAAAGAAGTTAAATTGGGTGATTACACACTTAATCCTATTATAATATCAATTCTCTGAACAGTGGTAGAAATCTGGTATTTGAAGGGTCTTCAGAGACATGTTTAAACTTTATACTCTAATATTGAAGTATCTTTGCAAGCTATTTTTAATTCATATATCCAACTTTAAATATTAGTCTCTATGGGCTAGATTATGACAATAAAAGAAACTACACTAAAATGTCAGTATTTTAAAGTAACAGGAAGATATTACAAAGTCTGTTACAGTCCTAGTCATCTTTTCAAGGCAGCAGTCCCCTATGTGATAGCTCAGTAATACAGGATGATTCAATTTTGTGGCACCACCCCCTCAATAATAGAATCCTATATTTACCTCCATGGAGAAAAAGGGAAGTAGAATTGTGTACCTGCTTGTAAATACTTCTGCCTGCTGTTAACACCTTTTCCTTCTTTCATTTTCATTGGTTTCACCTAAATTAAAGAACACAAAGGAATCCAATCTTCCAATGTGTCCAAAATGAGAGGAGGACTAAAAGTATTGGTAAGCACTAATACTCTCTACCATGCTTTATCTCCTGCAACTTTCATAAGCATACCATATACAGGAGTTTCAATGTCATTTACATTATTATTATTGATTTTGAAAGATTGTTATATGCATTGTAGAGTGCTTTCATTTCTAATAGAACCAAAACTAATCTCACTCATTTCTAAACATCACAGTTGTACTGCCTTTGTTGAGTACCATTAATATAGTCCACACTTAATTACTCAAATATACTACATGATTTTATTTCTGTATCTCTTTGCCTGTATTTTAAAATCCCTGTCTCTTTATGCCCACCTATAAAAATTCTGTCACTCCTTAATATTCCAACTTAAATGTTCTCCCTTATAAAGTATTTATTTTTATCCTCAGCTAAAAATACCTCTCCTTCTTCTGAATTAAAGTCTTTGTTTACATCTGTTTTACAGCACTTAATAATATAATAATAAGCATGCATATTAAGTATGTACTTATGTATTATGTGTGTACAGCACTTATAATAAGTGGTTATACAACTTATAGTAAGTTCTGCATGTACATAATACATAAGTACATTCTTAATATGTGTGCCATTAAGTACATACTTAATATGTATGCATGGCCTTTATTACCCTTATTTGAGGCAACATTGTAGAGTAAAGGGAACAAGAATTTTGAAGGCTGATAGCATTAGATCTGAATCATGGCTCTGCTATTTACTATCTGGGTGACGGCATGCAATGTTTTATAACCTCTCTGATCTTTGTTTTTCTCGTTTATGAAACACGGAGATGATTATATATCTTATACTGTTGCTGTGAGGATTAAATACTGTAGGACACATAGAGATTTTAAAAAACTGCTTGGCACAGAGTTAACACTCAGCAAATAGTACTTTACTCTCTACCCTTTAGTTTTATTCTGTTGACTGTGACTCTATAGGTGAAACTCACAGCATAGGGAAACAGAAGGACATTTTTCATCAGTTGTATCCAGTTAATTGTCTTACTTATGTCTAAATATTTTACCTTAGCCATTTACAACCATGGTTACACATTATAATCACCTGGAAAGGGTTTTTAATGTTTACATCAATACCTGGGTCCCACCCAGGCAAATCAATAATTATTTATGGGGGTAGGACTTAGTATTTTTAAAGCTGCCCAAGCAATTTTATTGCAAAGTTGAGAACCATTCCCTTTAGCATCAAAAACACAATTTTTATACATATCACTCAGTAAATATCTGTTGAATAAAACTCATATTAATCACACAAATAGGCCAATCATGTCACTATATTTTTAGCCTAAATTATATCAGCCAAGTTATTAAAAATCTAGTCATCTTTGGGTTTTTATAATATTTGAATTAAAATCAAGTTCATTCTCAAAAGATTATGATTTGTCACTTCCAAGAATAGTTAAAATAATGTGGCTAACTCCCAGAGAGTGTTTTTTGAAGCAGAGGAAGGCCCAACACATTTTTTAACAATGGCAACATTAGATCTCTATAAATACTTTCACAAATAAGCAAATCTGGTACATAGAAACATTGATAAGTTTTTATTAATATATTCATATGTGACATTTTGAGTACTGCTGACTCTTCCATGCTAATCTTGTATTTTATTCATTTAATCCAAGAAGTTTATAGTATCTTGTCCATGGCCCATACCAGTATTAATGCAGATTTTTTCTTTTTCCAAAGGCTTCATCAATGTATATTTTCCCAGAATTTGAGTAATAGAAGAAAAGAAATCTGGACCTGAAACATAAAATGAGATCATGAGCATGCAATCATTAAATTGTCACAGTTATATCATAATTCAATCTGCAGACACGCTATTCAATAATGTCATATATAATCAGGTTAATGCATTATAATTTTCATGAGTTACCTTTGATCATTTAAAAGAATTAACATGTGTTTCAGTAGATCACTATTACAGTTGTCTGTTGCTTTTAGAGGTTTAAAAATGCTTAGCAAGGAATTCACAAGATAAAATTAACATTTTAAATATCTGACAACAATGGAAATAGAAGATGTTTAAGCAGTGACTATGGTACTTAAGAAAAGCATTTGTTTTGATGCTATAGTGAATTCTACATAATATACTTGTTTTCATTATACGAAACACGATCCAACAACTAAAATACAATTGAGCATGAATTCCATACTTCTTACTTCATTTTCTTCTTAATTGCAAAATAAGCTTTTATTGTGGTTTTGCAAGACTTCTCTTGTGATTTTGCAAATGTTAGAAATAAATTTCTTTCTCATCAGAATCACCCCAAAATAATGCAAAACTTAAAGAGTAGCTGAAAGAGACAAGTAAAACATGGGATATTGATAGTATGAATGATGAAGATGTTAAGTTGGTGTTTACAAATATTCAGGTTATAGCTAACATACAGTTTCTATTCAGGCAGTTATCTATGGCCATCTTTCATCAGTTTTTCTTCTTTCTCTAAGGACTAGAAACCTATGGTAGAAGAAAGACTGACAAAATTATTAAGTTGTCTGTAATGTTAAGAATCAATGCAGAATACTTGGTCCAAAATAGCCTAAGAATTTTTATTGTTTCTTATATTCCTATAAGCCCCATTGCCAGAATCCATCTTAACACTTGAAGTCAAATATAGTTTCTCCCCTAACTGTGCCCAGTTATATTTTTTCACTTATGTTTCATTCAGTACTAATGAATGAAATTATGGCAATTTCCAATGTCAAATTAAAATTCTTCTAACACTTTCATCTTAAGTTACTGCCACTAAATAATGAAACTCCTTATTTACAGTGCAGTTGAGATTAAATATGTACATCTAATATCATGGCTGGAGTTCTTTAGTGTTATCATCAAGATATAAGGTTTGTCCTCAGCTTTACAAGATTTGGCATAAACTTCTAGTTCATCACCAAAACCACTTATGGTTCTTCTGGGCACACAATTAAGCAAAGCATCTCTACCTCCTTTGCAATTGCATATAGCCACATAATGGATTTTTAGTCAATAGAATAAGAGCAAAAGCTATGCAATTTTCTGCCAAGGCCTATGAGTGGCAAGCATTCCTTCACAATTTTCTCTTTCTTCAACTAAGTGCAGATGAAAATAAGGCTCTATGGGATGGTGTATCCACAAGACAGAAGAAATCCATGTTCATAAGTCATCAACTGGAGGAGTATAACTTGCCAACAAGAAACCCAACTTAAACTGTTAAGTTAGTGAGAAATGAATCTGTATTGAATATGTGCTGTTACGCACCTTTTATTTTATTTGTTATAGTTGTTTAACTTCTTGTGCCAAATATAAGGTACACCTATTTTTTGTTCCTATTTCAAGAGGTAATAGTTTTTTAAGAATACGCTCACGTTAACTATTCTCAGAATGATTGATGTATATGCAAGAATGCTAGTTTTAAAATTTACAGCAAAAGGTACCTCATTCTAGTGGTGCAAAGAAAATGTATATGGAATCAAAGTACTTGGCAAGCTAAATTAGGTAGTTAGGAACTGATTAACAAGAAATCCAAATGTGGTGAGCCTTGAGCTTTCTTGTGATGAAATCTGTATCACAAGAGAGACTGATGATTTATTCTTGACCTGCAATTACAAAGACATGTCTAGAGACTAGAAAATTTGTGTCCATCAAATATAGTGTCTCTCTTAACTGCATTGTGCTCAGTAACAAGACTAAATTCTTACTCTTTTATCCTCTTTGTGTAGTCTTTTGGTAAACCACACCTGTCTGTATTAGTACGTCTCACGCTGCTAATGAAGACACACCAAAGACACAGAAATTTATAAAGAAAAAGAGGTTTAATGGACTCACAGTTCCACATGGCTGGGGAAGCCTCACAATCATTGTGGAAGGCAAAGGAGGAGCAAAGACACATCTTACACTGTGGCAGTCAAGAGAGCATGTGCAGGGAAACTGCCCTCCATAAAACCATCAGATCTCCTGAGACTCATTCACAATCATGAGAAAAACCCACTCCCATGATTCAACCCCCTCCCACCTGGTCCGTCCCATGACATGTGGGGATTATGGGAGCTACAATTAAAGATGAGATTTGGGTGGGGACAGAGCCAAACCGTATCACCATCTATAATAAAACATTAGTTTTTAGAGTACAATAACATTGATTAAATTACAGTTTTAAGTTACATTCTAGTCCCGATGAAACATGCTAGTCATCTTAATTATAGGAGACACACTATCTCATAATAATCACGATTATATACTGTCCTGTATGGTAAATGACTTCTACAAATGACTAATCTCATTCATTGTATGTTTAATCTCTTCTCTGAGACTAATATTATCTCTAAGTTCATGAGGCAATTATAAACTTACCTAAGGAAATTTAGCAAGGAGCTCTTTGAGCCTGGAAAACTAGGAATTTCCAGTTATATAATAGCAAAGTTTTTATAAATATACAAAGTTAAAAATTTAGTCAAAAAGATTTATTTGATTTAAAAAATAGAGTTCAAATGGGCAAACCCCACAATCTGAAAAACTTGTACTGTATTCCTAAACATCTTTATAATTTTGCCCCTCTGTAGCTGACACTCAGCTCTCAGCATTCAAGTGCTTAAATATAATGATTTGTTCCTTACTAAGTTATATAATGACTCATTCATTTTTAATCTTCTATTTATTTTTTTTCTGTTTTGTTCTTTGCAGTTTGTTTTTTAATCATTTATTTATTTTCAAGATAACAATTTCCTGACTCTCTGTCTCTGTATTTCATCATGAACTACTTTCTTCTCTGTACTTATTCATTAGTTTCTTTCTCTCTGGAACAGTATTTTCCTAAAACATTTTCTTCAACTGTTAGGAAAACTCTTCTTTCTTGATCTCTATTTCTTAGTGAAGGTTCTTATATTTTGCTTGCTCCAGATATTTCCAATTATGTTCTTACCAGCTAGCTTCAAGAGCAAAATTCAACAGCAAGGCTATTTAAAGGACCCACATCAGGCAGTCAGCAAGTTAAAATAGTTAAAATAAAGTTAATCATATTTTTAAACTTTTATTTTAGGTTCAGGGGTACATGTGCAAGTTTGTAATCTAGGTAAACTCAAATCATAGGGGTTTGTTGTACAGATTATTTCATTACCCAGATACTAAACCTACTTATACTTAAATATATTTAATATTTTTATAATATAAAAATAACTATTACTACCCAATAGTTATTTTTCTGCTCCTCTCTCTCCTCCTACCATTCACCCTCAGGCAGGGCCCAGTGTCTGTTGTCCCCTCCTTGTGTCCATGTGCTGTCATCATTTACCTCCTACATACAAGTGATACCAGGCAGTATTTGGTTTACTGATTATGCATTAGTTTGCAAAGGATAATGGCCTCCAGTTCCACACAAGTCCTGTAAAAGACACAATATCATTTTTTATGGCTGCATAGCATCCCATGGTGTATATCTTCTACATTGTCTTTATCAAGTAGACTATTGATGGGCATTTAGGTTGATTCCATGTCTTTGCTATTGTGAATAATGATGCAATGAACATACGTGTGCATGTGTCTTTATGACAGAATGATTTCTATTCCTTTGGGGATATATGCAGCTCTTTAAGAAATTGCCACACTGCTTTTCCATAATGGTTGCAAAGTTTTCATTCCCATCAACAGTATGTAAGTGCTCCCTTTGTTCAGCAACCTTGCTAACATCTGTTATTTTTTGACTTTTTAAAAATAGCCATCTGACAGTGTGAGATGGTATCTCATTGTGGTTTTGATTTGCATATCTTTAATGATCAGTGATATTGAGCTTTCTTTCACATGCTTCTTGGCCACATGTATGTCTTCTTTTGAAAAATATCTGTTCATGTTGTTTGCACACTTTTAAATAGGGTTACTTGTTTCATGTAAATTTGTATAAGTTCTTTACAGATGCTGGGTATTAGACTTTTGTCAGATGCAAAATTAGTAAACTTTTTATCCCAGTCTATAACTGTTTGTTTACTCTGTTGATAGTTTCTTTTGCTGTGCAGAAGCTCCTTAGTTTCGTTAGATCCCATTTGTCAATTTTTGCTTTTGTTGCAATTTTTGTTGGTGTCTTTTTCACCACATTTTTGCCAGTACCTATGTCCTGAATGATATTGTGTAGGTTGTCTTCCAGGGTTTTTATAGTTTTGAGTTTTACATTTAAGTCTTTTATACATCTTAAGTTGATTTTTGTATATGGTGTAAGGAAGAAATCCAGTTTCAAAGTTCTGCATATGGCTTGCTAGTTTTCCCAGAACTGTTTACTGGATAGGGAGTCCATTCCCCATGGCTTGTTTTTGTCAGATTTGCCTAAGATAAGATGTTTGTAGGTGTGCAGCCTTATTTATGAGCTTTCTATTCTGTTCAAATGGTCTATTTGTGTGCTTTTCTACCAGTACCATGCTGTTTTGGTTACTCTAGCCCTGTTGTATTGCTTGAAACTGGGTAGTGTTATGCTCTCTGCATTGTACTTTTTACTCAGAATTGCCTCAGTTGTCCAGGGTCTTCTTTCATTCCCTATGAATTTAAAATTTTTTTCTATTTAGGTGAATGATGTCAGTGGTAGTTTGATAAGTATACCATTGTACCACTGAATATATTAATTGCTGAGCATGAAATGTTTTTTCATTTGTTTGAGTCATTTCTGATACCTTTGACCAGTATTTTATAATTCTCACTGTAGAGATCTTTCACCTCCCTGGTTAGAAGTATTACTAGATGTTTCATTCTTTTTATGTCAACTGTGAATGGGATTGCATTTCTGATTTGGCTCTCAGCTTGGCTGTTGTTGATATGTAGGATTGCTAGTAATTTTTGCATGTTGATGTTGTATCCTGAAACTTTGTTAAGTTGCTTATTAGTTCAAGCAGTGTTTGGGCAGAGACAATGGAGTTTTCTAGATATAGAACCATGTCATCTGCAAACAGGGATAGTTAGATTTTCTCCCTTGCTATTTGGTTGCCCTTTATTTTTTTTTTTATTTTGCCTAATTGTTCTGGCTAGGATTTCAATACTATGTTGAGTAGGAATGGTGACAGAGGGCATCCTTGTCTTCTGCCACTTTTCAAGGGGAATGCTTCCAGCTTTTGCCCATTCAGTATGATGCTGCCTGTAGGTTTGTCATAGATGGCTCTTATTTTGAGGTATGTTCCTTCAGTACCTAGTTTGTTGAGAGTATTTACCATGAAGACATGTTGAATTTTATCAAAAGCTATTTCTGCATCTATGAGATGATTTTTTGGTTTTTATCTTTAGTTGTATTTATGTGATGACTTGTGTTTATTGATTTGTATATGTTGAACCACCCTTGTATCCCAAAGATAAAACCTACTTGAACATGATGGATTAGCATTTTTATGTGATGCTGGATACAGTTTGCTGGTATTTTGTTGAGGTTTTTTGCATCGATGTTTATCAAGGATATTGGCCTAAAATTTTCTTTTTCTGTTGTGCGTCTGCCAAGTTTGGTATCAGGATTATGATGGCCTCATAGATGAGTAGGAGAGGAGACCCTCCTCCTTATTTTTGGGAATAGTTTCAGTAGGAATAAAACCAGCCCTTCTTTGTTCATCTGGTAGCATTTGGCTATAAAGTTGTCTGATGCTGGGCTTTTTTTGTTTGGTAGGCTATTTATTACTGATACAATTGGAGCTCGTTTTGTTATGTTTAGAGATTCAATTTCTTGCTGGTTTAGTGTAGGAACTGTGTATGTATCCGGGAATTTATCTATATTTTTTCTAGATTTTCTAGCTTGTGTGTACAGAGGTGTTCATAGTATTTGCTGATGGTCATTAGTATTTCTGTGTGTTCAGTGGTAATATGCCCTTTGTCATTTCTAGTTGTGTTTATTTCAATCCTCTGTCTTTCCTTCTTTATTATTCTAGCTAGCAATCTACCTATCTCATTATTTTTTTTTCAAAACCAGCTTCTAGACTTGTTGATCTTTTAAATATTCTTTTGTGTCTCAATCTCTAAAAGTGTTCATGGGACAGGGATGCCCTCTCACCACTCCTATTCAACATAGTGTTGGAAGTTCTGGCCAGGGCAATCAGTCAAGAGAAAGAAATAAAGGGTATTCAATTAGGAAAAGAGGAAGTCAAATTGTCCCTGTTTGCAGATGACATGATTTTATATTTAGAAAACCCCATCGTCTCAGCCCAAAACTTCCTGTAGCTGATAAGCAACTTCAGCAAAGTCTCAGGATACAAAATCAATGTGCAAAAATCACAAGCATTCCTATACACCAATAACAGACAAACAGAAAGCCAAATAATGAGTGAACTCCCATTCACAATTGCTTCAAAGTGAATAAAATACCTAGGAATCCAACTTACAAGGGATGTGAAGGACCTCTCCAAGGAGAACTACAAAGCACTCAATGAAATAAAAGAGGACACAAACAAACGGAAGAACATTCCACGCTCATGGATAGGAAGAATCAATATTGTGAAAATGGCCATACTGCCAATGGTAATTTATAGATTCAATGTCATCCCCATCAAGTCTCCAATGACTTTCTTCACAGAATTGAAAAAAACTACTTTAAAGTTCATATGGAACCAAAAAACAGCCCACATTGCCAAGATAATCCTAAGTCAAAAGAACAAAGCTGGAAGCATTATGCTACCTGACTTCAAACTATACTACAAGGCCACAGTAACCAAAACAGCATGGTACTGGTACCAAAACAGAGATATAGACCAACGGATCAGAATAGAGCCGTCAGAAATAATACCACACATCTACAACCATCTGATCTTTGACAAACCTGACAAAAACAAGAAATGGGGAAAGGATTCCCTATTTAATAAATGATGCTGGGAAAACTGGCTAGCCATATATAGAAAGCTGAAACTGAATCCCTTCCTTACACTTTATACAAAAATTAATTCAAGATGGATTAAAGACTTAAATATTAGACCTAAAACCATAAAAACCCTAGAAGAAAACCTAGGCAATACCATTCAGGATATAGGCATGGGCAAGGACTTCATGTCTAAAACACCAAAAGCAATGGCAACAAAAGCCAAAATTGACAAATGGGATCTAATTAAACTAAAGAGCTTCTGCACAGCAAAAGAAACTACCATCAGAGTGAACAGGCAACCTACAGAATGGGAAAATATTTTTACAATCTACCCATCTGACAAAGGGCTAATATCCAGAATCTACAAAGAACTTAAACAAATTTACAAGAAAAAATCAAACAACCCCATCAAAAAGTGGGCAAGGATATGAACAGACACTTCTCAAAAGAAGACATTTATGCAGCCAACAGAAACATGAAAAAATGCTCATCATCACTGGCCATCAGAGAAATGCAAATCAAAACCGCCATGAGATACCATCTCACACCATTTAGAATGGTGATCATTAAAAAGTCAGGAAACAACACGTGCTGGAGAAGGTGTAGAGAAATGATAACACTTTTACACTGTTGGTAGGACTGTAAACTAGTTCAACCATTGTGGAAGACAGTGTGGCGATTCCTCAAGGATCTAGAACTAGAAATACCATTTGACCCAGCCATCCCATTACTGTGCATATACCCAAAGGATTATAAATCATGCTGCTATAAAGTCACATGCACATGTATGTTTATTGCGGCACTATTCACAATAGCAAAGACTTGGAACCAAACCAAATGTCCATCAATGATAGACTGGATTAAGAAAATGTGGCACATATACACCATGGAATACTATGCAGCCATAAAAAAGGATGAGTTCATGTCCTTTGTAGGGACATGGATGAAGCTGGAAACCATCATTCTGAGCAAACTATCGCAAGGACAGAAAAACAAACACCGCATGTTCTCACTTATAGGCAGAAACTGAACAATGAGAACACTTGGACACAGGGTGGGGAACATCATACACCGGGACCTGTCATGGGGTGGGGGGAGTGGGGAAGGATAGCATTAGGTGATATACCTAATGTAAATAACGAGTTAACAAGTGCAGCACACCAACATGGCACATGTATACATATGTAACAAACCTGCACATTATTCACATGTACCCTAGAACTTAAAGTATAATAATAATAATAAATACCTTCAAAAAATCAATGAATCCAGTAGCTGTTTTTTTGAAAAGATCAACAAAATTGATAGACCGCTAGCAAGACTAATAAAGAAGAAAAGAGAGAAGAATCAAATAGAGGCAATAAAAAAATGATAAAGGGGATATTACCACCGATCCCACAGAAATACAGACTACCATCAGAGAATACTATAAACTCCTCTATACAAATAAACTAGAAAATCTAGAAGAAATGGATAAATTCCTGGACACATACACTCTCCCAAGACTAAACCAGGAAGAAGCTTAATCCCTGAATAGACCAATAACAGTCTCTGAAATTGAGGCAATAATTAATAGCCCACCAACCAAAAATATCCAGGACTAAGTAACTAATTTTTGACTCAAATTCTAGAACTTGAGATTTTCCCCAAGTATTAGGCTTGAAAATCATATGCTATATAAAATGTATAATTGGACTCTTCTTATTTATACACTTGTACTGACTAGTCAGGTCTTATTTGCTCCTAAATTTATGAGATACGCATCTGCATTAGTTTTTTGGTGTATTCTTCATTTATAACATCTTTGTTACATATTTGTTACTACCTTTATCATTCAATCTGTTAAAGTAATTTTCTTCCCAATTTTGTTTACAGGTCCTGAATTACTGTGTTGTTCATTCATGAACATGAACAAAATAAAATCAGGATTCAAGATTATTTACCTTTTATATTTTTTAATTTATTTAATTTACTTTATTTTTATTTTATTTTATTTTTTTTGAGACAGAATCACGCTCTGTCACCCAGGTTGGAGTGCAGTGGCGCAATCTCATCTCACTGCAACCTCTGCCTCCTGGGTTCAAGCGATTCTCCTCCCTCAGCCTCCCGAGCAACTGGGATTACATGTTGTGCCACCCTGTCCGGCTAATTTTTGTATTTTTAGTAGAGATGGGGTTTCGCCATATTGGCCAGGCTGGTCTCGAACTCCTGACCTCAGGTGATCCACCCGCCTCGGCCTCCCAAAATGCTGGGATTACAGGTGTGACCCATCATGCCTAGCTCTATTTATCTTTTAGAAAACAACTTTTATAGAATGCTCAACAAAATGTGTAGTTTTTTTTAGAACTATTGTTTAAGTTTCAGGGGAAAGATGTGCAACTTTGCTATATGAATAAATTATGCATATTTTCTTTCCTAGATAGTAAATATAGTACCTGATAAATAGTTATTTGATCCTCACTCTCCTTCCAACCTCCACCCTCAGATAGGCCTGACTCTGGCTTCCTTCTTTGTGTCCATATGTACTTGATGTTTGGCTTCCACTTATAAGTGAGAAAATGCAGCATTTGGTTTTCTGTTTCTTTGTTAATTTGCTTAGGATAATGGCCTCCAGCTCCATTAACGTTGCTGGAAAGGGCATGATTTGGTTCTTTTTTATGGCTGCATAGTATTCCGTGGTGTATAAGTACCACATTTTCTTTACCAAGTCTACCATTGATGTGCATTTAGGTTGATTTCATGTCTTTTTATTTTGAATAATGATGTGATGAATATACACATGCATATGTCTTTATGGTAGAATGATTTACATTTTTTGGTGTATATACCCAACAACAGAATTGCTGGCCAAATTGTAGTTCTGTTTTAAAAGTTCTTTAAGGAATCACCACACTGCTTTCCACAATGGCTGAAGTAATTTTTCTTTGTACTATCAGTTTATAAGTACTCTTTCCCTACAACCTTGCCAGCATCTGCTATTTTTGACTTTTTAACAATAACCATTCTGACTGGTGTGAGATGATATTTCGCAATGTTTTTTATTTGCATATCTCTAATTATTTGTAATGTTAAGCATTTTTTATAAGCTTGTTGACCACATGTATGTCTTCTTTTGAAAAGTGTCTGTTCCCATTATTTGTCCACTTTGTAATGTGGTTGTTTGGTTTTTGCATGTAAATTTGTTTAAGTTCCTTATAGATTCTTGATATTAGATATTTGTCAGATGCATGGTTTTCAAATATTTTCTCTCACTCTTAGGTTGCCTGTTTATTCTGTTGATAGTTTATTTTGTTGTGCAGAAGCTATTCCACCAGGTTGCTGGTGGAATTGGCCCAGGATGACAGCTGGAGAATGGAGTCAGTTTAATCGAACTATGAAAACCAGATTACTTCTTTCACTGAATACCTCGAAGAATATTTAGATACAGATGAGCTGGTATGGATCTTAGAAAAGCAGCATCTTATTAAAACAGAAACATCTAAGCTCTTGTCTGATATAAGTGTTTGTCTATAGTTTACATACAGAAGGAAATTTTCACCAATTTGGGGAACGGGCCCTTCATCAGATGCTGGTTGGGGATGTATGCTATGCTGTGGACAGATGATGCTGGCTCAAGCCCTTATATGTAGACACTTGGGAAAGGACTGTTATTGGGAGATAACAAAAAGAACAACAACAACAACAATAAAATACCAATGGATCCTACAGTGCTTCTTAGAGAGAAAAAATTGTTGCTACACTATCCATCAAATGGCACAAATGCATCAAATGGCACAAACATCCATTGCACTGGCCTCGCCTTGTACCTCCAGCCAAGCCAGAAGTGACAACCACTGGGGCATAATTCATTGACTCTACTGAACAACTGGAGGAGTTTGATCTGGAGGAAATTTTGAGACTCTGAATGTGTAGAATCCCGGGATCTCAACTTGGAGGGCTGTCTTCCATCTGGCACCATAAAAACATGAACTTCTTACATAAAACTTTTCTAGTCAGTAAGTTCCTGATATACCAATAGCATACAAATTCGATAGTATTCATGACTGAGCCAATCACAGTTTCTCAGAAAAAAAAAAAAAAAATGACAGTAACCCTTTCCCAGAAAGAAATAGAACAATCGTGGAGCCTAGGAGCAGAGAGATGAGGAGTTGATTGCTTCCCAGCTTGTCTTACATGGTTACAGCAAGTCTTCAGCTTCTGTAATGAGGAGATGGACATCTGGAAAACAGGCAGCAACTCTCAGCTTGGTTTAAGAACAAGCAGATGAGAGATGGTTAAGCTGTTCTTCTTCACCCTTTCAGGTGTGACCTCTTTTCGACGAAATATTAGCAATCTGTTCTCTTGCTCAAATAATAAAGTGACCAAATCAGGGAAGAAAAAGGTTCTTGTTAAATTATTTGAATGTGTAGTTTAAGTAATTATAATTTATATCAAAACGTTTGTCAAAGAATTGATGTCAAATATTCACTCTTAATCTCCTTCCTATTTGGGGGAATCTTACTATTTGATGGGTCAGTGCCCCCATTCTTACTGATACTTTTGTCAGATATCACCTTGTCCTTAAATCAAATCATGGTCACTTAAATCAGGGGTCTGCAAACTTTTTCTGTAAAGGACCGGACAGTAAATATTTTGGGCTTTGCTGGTAATGCGACCTCTGTTACGTCTACTCAACTCTGCTGCTGACATGCAAAAGCACCCACAGAAAATATGCACGCAAATGAGCATGGCTGTAATCCAAGAAAAGTTTATTTACAAAAACAGGTGTGGCGTGGGGTTTGGCCTGCAAGCTGTAGCGTGCCAATCAGTGACTTGAACTGTTTATTTTTGTTTGAGAAATTAAAAATAAATTGTGTTTGAATTATTAAAAAATTTCCTCATTTTTTACATTAATTTTGTATCCTGAACTTTCCTAAGTTTGTTTATCAGATCAGGGAACTTTTGGGTAAGTCACAAAGGGAAACATCTTTAATTGTAACTCAGGTACCCCTGGAAGTGTAACGGAAAAGTCTTCTGTTTCTACATGTGAGAAATCCATTTTAAATGTATGTTATGTCCGTGATAAGGTTAATATGATTTTATATTATTAGACCTAAGTGTAAAGTCAGTGTTGACTTTTTAAAATGTGACAATTCTTGGTGTCAAATATATATTGAGAAAAAAAGCATCTTTTAAGACCCAAAAAACTGAACTAGCAGAGTAATGCCTTATATGAGCTACCATGTGAGAAATTGAGTCTTCTGGTATGAGACATTTAGTAGTGTTAAGGAGTCTAAGATAAAGTTTATAGAGGATGAGTAGAAAGATGACTTCCTCCTGGTAGAGGTAGCTAATAAAAAATATTGTATTTCGGAGCTGGAGTGTAGCTACTACAATTACACAGGTCCTACCAAACCTGAAGATGAGATTAAAATGTGAGAATTTGAAGCCTGGATTTGGCAAGCATAGATGATTTTGAACTTTTTATCTTTTCTATATGTTTTACTATTTGGTGCTTTTCCCATAGTATTATGTAAACCTTAGTAAAATATGTCCAACCTGGGCCAATAAAAACAAAAGAAGGATTAAATTCCTTCTTGGAAAAGTGGGGTAAAGGGTAGATAGCAGTTACCTAGGAAACAAATTGTTGATGGCAGCACTCAGGGTAGGAAGAGCATACCAGTGTAAAGGCAAAGTTAGGGAGGGCAGAAAATTTGAGGTTTTCAATTTAGTCACCACTTTTCACTTGACTTGGAAATCCTTGCTACAAAAAGTAGCTTGGTAGGATCTGTTTTCTACTGAGATAAGGAAGGCTGCATGAAATACCCAAGTTGTCACAGAAAAAAAAAATGAATTTTCCTATGCCTTAATAATTGAATGAAGTTAAAAAGTCAGGAAACAACAGGTGCTGGAGAGGATGTGGAGAAATAGGAACACTTTTACACTGTTGGTGGGACTGTAAACTACTTCAACCATTGTGGAAGTCAGTGTGGTTATTCCTCCGGGATCTAGAACTAGAAATACCATTTGACCCAGTCATCCCATTACTGAGTATATACCCAAAAGATTATAAATCATGCTGCTATAAAGACACATGCACACGTATGTTTATTGCGGCACTATTCACAATAGCAAAGGCTTGGAACCAACCCAAATGTCCGTCAACGATAGACTGGATTAAGAAAATGTGGCACATATACACCATGGAATACTATGCAGCCATAAAAAATGATGAGTTCATGTCCTTTGGAGGGACATGGAGGAAGCTGGAAACCATCATTCTCAGCAAACTATCGCAAGGACAAAAAACCAAACATTGCATGTTCTCACTCATGGGTGGGAATTGAACAATGAGAACACATGGACACAGGAAGGGGAACATCATACACCGGGGACCGTTGTGGGATGGGGGGAGGCGGGAGGGATAGCATTAGGAGATATAGCTAATGCTAAGTGACGAGTTAATGGGTGTGGCACACCAGCACGGCATATGTATACATATGTAACAAACCTGCACATTGTGCACATGTACCCTAAAACTTAAAGTATAATAATAATAAAATTAAAAAAAAATTGAATGAAGTTCAAGTTGCACATATCCAATAACATAGAATTTCCAATACCAGGTATAATATCTTTAAGAGATGCTATTTATGTGCATAAGAAGTAGTGTATAATACTATTCACTGCTGAATTGTTATAACAAAAAATTAGAAACCTTATAGTAATGTATAATAATATTCACTGTTACATGGTTATAAGAAAAAATTAGAAACATCTTAAGTAATTGCTATTACTCAAAAGTAAAAAAGTTATATATGCTGGTGAGATTGCCAAGAAAGAGAACACTTATACACTGTTATGGGAAGTGTAAATTAGTTCAACAATTGTGGAAAGCAGTGTGGCAATTTCTCAGAGGTAAAAACAGAAGTAGCATTCAACCCAGCTGTCCCATTACTACATATATACCCAAGAGAATATAAATCATTCTATCATAAAGACATATGCATGCATATGTTCATCACAACACTATCCACAGTAACAAAGACATGGAATCAACCTAAATACTTATCAATGGAAGATCGGATAAAAAAATGTGATACATATACACCATCGAATACTGTGCAGCCATAAAACATAATGAGATGATCTCTTTTGCAGGAACATAGATGAAACTGTAGGTCATTTCCCTTAGCAAACTAACACAGAAACAGAAACCCAAATACTGCGTGTTCTCCCTTGTAAGTCGGAGCTAAATGATGAGAATACATGGACACAAAGAGGAAAACAACAGACACTGAGGTCCTACTGAGGGTGCAGCATGTAAGGAGGGAGAAGAGCAGAAAAAGTAACTACTGGGTAATAGGCTTAGTGCCTGCGTGATAAAATAATCTGTACATCGAACCCTCATCGCATGAATTTACCTGTGTAACAAACCTTCACATGTAGTTTTGGACCTAAAATAAAAGTTTAAAAAAGGATGTGGGGGATGAAGGCAGAAAGATTGAGTCTAGGGTAGGAAATAAAATTGGGAAACCTTTTTATTTTGTCAAAAATGCATTTAATATTTTATCCATATATGCAGATTTCTCAAAATTCTATAATCAAAAGTTGTTATCTTATCCAAGAAAAATGTACTCATCTTTTAGATGCTTTTACATCTAAGTTCTGAATGTAAAGACATAATTGCACACACAAATGCACCTATGCATAGTTCGGACAAAAGTTTGCTACTCTCAGTCATAATATTGGTGCATTAAAATATAGTTATCCTTTCCTAGACATAAAGCCATTTGACAATATTTAGGCACCAGTCATCTGAAAGGTCATTGGGTTTCATTAAAAAAGTTAATAGCAAACTATCGCAAGGACAAAAAACCAAACACCGCATGTTCTCACTCATAGGTGGGAAATGAACATGAGAACACTTGGACACAGGAAGGGGAACATCACACACCAGGGCCTGTCGTGGGGTGGGGGGAGGGGGAGGGATAGCATTAGGAGATATATCTAATGCTAAATGACTAGTTAATGGGTGCAGCACACCAACATGGCACATGTATACATATGTAACAAACCTACACGTTGTGCACATGTACCCTAAAACTTAAAGTATATATATATAAAAACGTTAATCTGACTAATATTGCCTTAGGCCTTAATTTTCAAAAGCCATGCTTTAACTTGTCAGAAAAAGCGTACTACCTTATGTTCCCTCTAGAATCTCTATTCTTAGACACTCAGGGGAAAAAAAAATACTCTTGCTGCAACCACAATCGGTAATTGCCAGTTTGAAACTGAGGTCAAAAGACATTATTATCCTTTAAAATAGACAAAAATTAAAACAAGTATAATTAGAAGCCCAGTGATGAACAGTCACAGTGACAGAGTGACATCAATCCAGTTGTTTCCACTGACCAAAACATTTTTGCGGAAAAGACAGAAAACGTATTTATACAGAAAAAAATGACAAATTCAAGAATATATGCCAGTTACTTTGAAATAGCTTGAGCAATTAGTCAACAAATATCTAGCCAGAAAAATTTTGCTCCACTGCCCAACACATGTATACATTGGGAGACCCTTCTCTGTTCTATGACCTTAACTATTCTGTTTTTGATACTTGTTTATAAGTCAGTCTTCTTGTCTGCTTGAAGAAAAACGTAAAAAATAGAAAGAAAAAAGGAAAGAAAGAGACAGAAAGAAAGAAAAAGAAAAAAGAAAGAAAGAAAGAAAGAAAGAAAGAAAAGGAAAGGAAGGAAGGAAGGGGAAAGAAAGAAAAAGAAAGAAAGAAAAGAAAAAGAAAGAAAGGAAAAAGAAAGAAAGAAAGAGAGAAAAACAGAAGGAGAGAGAGATGAGAGGGAGAGAGAGAGTGAAGGGGAGAGAGAGTGAGGGGAGAAGAGAGCGAGAGTGTGTGTGTGTGTGTGTTTGTGTGTGTGTGAGAGAAAGAGAGAGAGAGAAATTTTCAGTCTCCTGAGGAAAGTTAGTTTTTTAAAGGAATTTTTTGTTTGTAATTTTCAATCTGAGTCCCCAGTACTTTGCAAAAGAAGTTCATAGAGAAATATGTTTGTTAACTGATTAGATGAGCGAACCTACTAGGTACAATTAGTTCTGGGTACTAATGGAACAGGACACAAATCTAAAATGCAAACAGCTTCAGAATCATCTCAAAGAATGTGGTATGGGATGAGCCATGAAAATCAAAACAGACAAATGTAATAAGTGAAAATATTTATTTTAAAAATCCATAGAAATTTTAGAAGTCTTCAGAGTTTTGGTTCTTTTTTTTTTGGTGGTAGTGGAAGAGCATAGTGAGAAATAATAGAAAATATATTTAACATGCAGGTGGAGACTTTTTAAATGCTCTATGAGTTGAGATTTGCAGATGAGAAAGCTATGGGAAAGAGGATGGAGGCTGAAGAATGCCATTCCATAAAATGGCAAGAGCTACCATATGCTGTATCCAATAGTTCTAAGATATGTTGAAAAAAATATCAGTAGGGTAGTCAAGAATCATACTATTTGTCTTGGAGCATCATACTATTTGTTTGGAGTATTATACTATTTGTTTTGGAGTATCATACTATTTGTTTTGGAGTATCTTAATGGCAGTAGATGCAATGGCTTTGTTGCAAAATGTTAGGACAACATGAGCTGAGCTATATATTTTGGTTCTGTCAAATCACATATTGGCATCTGATCTTTGAAATATTGTCTTATTTATATAAACCTTAGTATTCTGATCTCTAAAACATGTGTTGCAAAAATATCTACAGGTTTTTGTTCTGGATAAGAAAAACTAAACACACCTCATCTTCTCTTTCTATTCAACATAGCTGTAGAAACTGCACAGAATGCATGTAACAGCTATTTGAGAACACTGACAGGTAAATAGTAGTAAATTAAATTAAAAAAAAAGAATACAAAATACCACCCAACTATCATTAGTTTGCCTGTTTTAAAATTATGTTATCCTGTAGCCAAGAACCAACATAACTTAAAACCTGCAAGTAAGAGTTTGCAGCAATAGAGAGATCCAGAACTAACATTCTATTTCTGGGTCAAGGAATGTAGAATGTGATCCTAATTCTCACTAAAAAAATGAAATAAATTTATTGACATTTTTCTTTTCTAAATTTGATTCCTCCTTCCTACTAAATAACGTAGTGGTCAGGGAAACAGCAATAGGAGCCGACAGAAGTCTAAAAGACTGAGAGAAGTAGATCTTTCTTTCTTATCAGAGTGTCTGTAGACCCAAAACTGTTGGTAAAGCCGTTTCCTTTTTTGCTCTCTGTCTTTTCATAGCTTGCCTTCATGTGTGAGAACAGACACATGAATTGCACAAGGTAAATAAATCCTCAGGTCTCTGACTGAGAAATCAAAATGGGAAGGCTCAAGAAACAATATAGTACTGGCCAGATTACAGAGACAATGAAATTCTGGAAACCAACTGTACAAAGATTTTAATAAATTCCTAGACTCATCCCAGAGTTGTGCATGCTTATATTTGACCCTATTTGGCATAGCAGAGGCAATAAGATCATAGAAATATAGGCAGATTTTGTCCAGTTATTCAGACTGGAAAGTAAGGCAAACATATATGAGGAACTTCTAAATAACAGTGCAAATAATTTAAGAATGGAACTGATGTTGAAACTATTGCCCACAGACCTGGAGGCCTGTACCCCAAGTTCCGCTGCATGTTAAAACAGACATAAAATAAAAATAAAGTGTCTAATGATATAATATTCACACTTTGCAGAATACAATACAAAATTACTACATATAATAAGAATGAGATAAATGACTATTAATAGAAAAAAAGAATCTTCAGACACCAACACTGCAAGGCAAAAATCTTAGAAGTTCCTGACAAAGACTTTAAAGCAACTATCATTAAAAATTTGCACAAAAAGGCCGGGCACGGTGGCTCACACCTGTAATCCCAGCACTTTGGGAGGCTGAGGCGGGTGGATCACGAGGTCAGGAGATCGAGACCATCCTGGCTAACACGGTGAAACCCTGTCTCTACTAAAAATACAAAAAAATTAGCCGGGCATGGTGGCGGGCACCTGTAGTCCCAGCTACTCAGGAGGCTGAGGCAGGAGAATGGCATGAACTGGGGAGGCAGAGCTTGCAGTGAGCCGAGATCGCGCCACTGCACTCTAGCCAGGGTGAGAGAGCGAGACTCCATCACAAAAAGAAAAAAGAAAAAAAACAATTTGTACAACAACTAAGAGCAAACACTCTTAAAAAAGATAAAAAAAAATTAGAAAATCTCAAGTCAGAATTAGAAAATATAAAGCAGAACTAAATGGAAATTTTTGAAGTAAAAAATACAATAGACAAAATCTAAAACTCACTTGCAGATGTAACAGAATTGTGCATTAAAAAAGACCTGAAGTTCTGCCTTTCTATAAAATCAGTAAAAAATTGGGAAAATTTAGAATTATTTTTTTTTCAAATTTTAAAATTAAACATAGATTATCAGAAAAAAAAAGAAGTAGCTTTTTTTTTTTTAAAACAAAATGGCTGAATTCCACTAAGAACAGTGAACTATTTGGAATTTTAATTTATCATAGTTCCATCTTCTTTTCTTTAGTGTATCAACACCCTTGGAAATAATAGCCTGAATTTCCAGTACAGAAGGTTGTGGAATAGATTTTATTCACAGTTAAAAGAAAATTGAACCATCTGGTATCCTCCTAGAAGACAGACTCAAAAGGTTTGTCTTTATTTTACAAAACTTAAATTTACCAGTGATAAAGATGCAATCTGTGATAGGGGAGATTTTTCAAAATACTTACAGGCAATTGTTTTTGGGAATGCTCCCTGAGGTAATAAATGACAGTTGAGGAAAACAATAGAGTTAACTAAAATGCTTAAGAGGAAAGGTGAAAAAAAAATGAGGTAACCACAATGGCTTTGGAAATCTCTGATGTATTCTTGGGAATGTAGAATTCCATCTGCCTGCTCAGGGCTGCACACAATCTTAGAAAAGACATGAGGATCCCCAAAGATATAAGTGTGATTGACCTTAGCTCTACACAACATGTTGAGAAGACTAAGGCATAATAGTAAACTTCCTGAGTATGAAAGTCATACCCAATATGCAAACAGATCCGTGGCAAAAAAATTAATAATAATTAGTTGCAGAAATTTAAAGAAATATTTATCAAGTTATTTGCTGACCACTAAGCTAATGGAACAGAGACTTTAATGTCCACATATGGCCAATTATACACAGTTCACATAAGTTTAGACTGCTTTGCCACTTCCCACCTGTTAGATTTGAAACAGCCTCATTGTCTGGGGTGATACCCGATGTTCATTGTCTCACAGCATGGAGAACAAGGATGCAGACACAGAAAGAGTGATTTTGAGAATGGAAGTTGAATAGTTGAAGGAAAGAAAATAGCTCTCCTACAGAGAGGGGTCCTGAAAAAATGGCTTACCAGTCCTCAGAGAAATGCAGGGGGGTGTATAGATGAGTGGTGGGGAGGTGGTATATGATGTAGGTAGCTCAAACAAAAAAAAAAAACTGGTTAGACCAGGTGTGCCATTTGCATAGGGCATAAATTTCTGGTAGCCCCCAACCTAATCTTTTATAATGCAGGCTGGGTCTCTTCCTGAGCTGTGCCATGTTGCCCATTCCTTTGTTCCTGTACACGCTGTAACAAAAAAAGGGAATATGGAGCCTCCATGCCTGGACATGCCTGGTCCCCAGGTAGCCTTTTTCTATTGGTGCAGCTACCAGCATTCCCCCGTGCAAGCTTCTAGCTTCCTTATTTATGTTTGCAGCTCATTTTTTCAGGCTGCTCTTTGTTAGAAAACAAAATGATTTTGGCAGATGCTTTTTTTGGACGGGAAATTCTGCAAAGGACTCTTTTGCCCTCACTATCTGCCTACGTAATTTATTTCTACCTCCTGTATTATCTCCCCCATCAAGAGTGGAAACCCTAACTGCTCTTGGGGGTGGGGGGCTGGATGATGACTTCTTATGACTACTTTCTGCTGGAGAGGGCGTCGTGTGAGGAACAGCATCTAGGGCTCCTCCTGGGGTCAATATAAGGGTCCTCAGAAGAAAGACATGTCCATGCGTGGTTCCATCTGCAGCACCATTTGGAGCTTAATAGCTTCTAGGCAAGAAGAGATCAATTTTACAAGGTTTAGAATACAGGTTTCGAATATGAGTGTTAAGATTACCACTATTAGTGGGGGTACCATAGGCCATAACCATGACAATGGAGTTTGATAGCCGTTCTGATGGATTTTAATACTGGTTTTCTCCACCAGATGTCGCTCTACTTTACCAAAAATGTTAATATAAAAGCAACATTTGTTTCTTTGAGAAAAACATATATTCCCCTGTGACTTCCTGTTAGAAGATAATTTTAGGTCTGGGCCATCTTTTATAACTTCCGATATGATTGGGAGAAATACATTATTGGGTGGCTAGAGTAACTTTAGTGTTAACTTTGGCTACGTAATCCCTGTAGTTATTAATCCTGTTATAAAGACGATAATTTGGCTGTTAGAGCAATTAGAATTTTCTATTTAGAATTCCACATCTCAGGTGCCTTGCCCTACTATAAATGGTATGGTGAGTATAACAATTCACACATGGATGGTGTAGTAAATAACTTCCATCTAAAATTTTACTCACCAAGATATAGAATTTTCCTTTGGGGGTTTAGGAAGTTACAAATATAATCTCATAGATAATCAAAACGTCCCTGAAAATATGCATCAAAAAAGTTGTAATACCTGGCAGCAAATTTTGAGAGGCAAGGTAGAGATAACTGAAAGTATCTGGTAATGTAGGGGTGAGACTGACTAGGATGAGTAGCTCTCACTCATTTACTTATCTTTTATGATTTTCAGCTTAAGAGCCCCTCTTTTTACATTGATATCCAGGATGTTCCTTTGGGCCATCCGGGGCTGTTCTCTCAGCTTTCAAGGCTTTGACTGGAGTGTGATGTATCCGGGAGTTGATTCCTCTAACTTTTACTACTGAAGGGGTTGAAAGAACAGTGTAAGGCCCTTGCCAGCTTAGGCTTAAGGAGGGAGAGCGAGAGGGTAGAGCCTTAACCAATACCAAATCTCCTGGGTTAAATAAAGGTGGTCCTATTTCTTGGGGTTGGACTTCTGCTAATTGTGTTAACTCCTGTCGGAAGTGAGTCTGAGAGGTTACATGTTTAACCAATTTAGAGGTTTCCTGGTCTAATAGGAAATCACTGGTAAAGAAAAGCCATCCATGCAGCCTTTCAAAATGCCTTAGATCTAACTTTGAAGGGGTATTTCTTACCCACAATAAAGCCATGGGAAGAAGAGTGACTCAAGGAAGGTGAGTTACTTGGGACAGTTTTCCGAGTTGTATTTTGACAACATCATTTGTCTTCTTTACCCTTCCTGAGAACTGGGGTCTCCAAGCACAATGGAGATTATATTGTATGACTAGTGACTTTGAGACCTTCTGTGTGATGCTGCCTTAAATGAGGGATCGTTTTCGCTTTGAAAGTATTTAGGTAGACCAAAACAGGAAGTTATTTCATTAGCACTTTTATTACCTCAGAAGACTTTTCTGTGTGGCATAGAAATGCTTCTACCCAGTTAGCAAAAGTATCTACCCATACCAGGAGGTATTGGATGTCCTTCGTCTTTGGCATGTGGGTGAAGTCTATCTGCCAGTCCTCCCCTGGATAGCTTCCCATCCTTTGGGTTTGAGAAGCAAGAGCCGTCTGTTAAGGGGATTATTTTTAAGGGAGACTTTACAAGCATTAACAACTTGTTTGACTGTTTTTGTAAAGTTCTCTCCCGAAAACAATCTCTGGGCACACGGGTAAGTTTTGTCTTTTCCCAAGTGAAAAGCTTGGTGGAGGATTTTAAGAACTTTCCACTGGCTGGAGGATGGCAAGTGGAGTTTGCCATCCTCTGACTGTAGCTATCCTGAGGCTTAGAAAATGTACCCTTGAGAGATGGCCCATTCTATCTCTACAGCAGAGTACTGAGGCTTAATGTCTCTTATTTAGCCAACCCAAATTAGAGAGACTTTAAATGTATTGAGTCCCTGAGGCTTTCTTGCTGCTGATTTGGCTGTCTGATCAGCTAACTTGATCTTTCGGCTATTTCATCTGTTCCCTTCTGATGTCTCTTACAATTAATCACTGCTACTTCTCGTGGAAGAAAAACTGAGGATAATAACCTGCTAATTTCCTGATGATATTTTATAGGGGATCCATTAGCATTAAGAAAGTGTCTTTCCTTCCAAATGGCAGCATGAGCACGAAGAACTAAGAAAGCATACTTGGAGTCAGTGTAAATGTTAACTACCATTCCCTTGCTTAGTTCAAGTGTCCTTGTAAGAGCTTTCCGTTCAGATATTTGAGGGCTTGTTTGTGGAGAGAGGGGCACACTTTCAACAACTATTGTATATCCTGCTTTAAGGACTCATTGGTCCACAAAGGAACTTCTATCTGTGAAGAGAGTCCAGTCCGGATTTTCTAGGGGAGTTTCCCTGAGATCCTCCCTGGCTGCATAAGTCTGTACCACTATTTGTTCACAGTCATGTTCAGGTTTCCCAGTTTTCTTGAGGAGGAAAGTGGCTGGGTTTAGGTGAGAGCAAGTTTTTAATTGGATTGTAGGCCCTGCCTACATCAGAGCCCTATATGTAAGGAGCCAGCTGTCTGTTTGCCGAAGGTTCCCACTAGAAGACAGCAATCTGGGCACATTATGTGAGGTATAAACAGATAAGTAAGTTATTTCTCAGAGTTAATTTGGTGGCCTCTGTACCAGTAAGGCCACTGTGGTAACTGCTTGGAGGCATGCTGGCCATCCTTTAGCCACAAAATTAAGTTCCTTACTCAAGTATCCCACTGGCTGTTGAGTGGTTCTAGGGCTTGAGTTAAAACTCGCAGGGCCGTTCCCTTCCTTTCTGATACATAAAGATTGAAGGCCCTCTCTATGGGAAGGCTGAGGGCGGGTGACTTAAGTAAGGCTTGTTTTAGCTGATTAAAGGCCTTTTGAGCTTCAGGTTCCAATGTTAGGAAATCGGTTTTAGCCACTTGAATTTGTTTTATGAGTTGATATAAGAAACAAGCTATCTTACCATACCCAGGTTTTCATAGTCTGCAAAATTTTGTAATGCCCCAAAATCCTCTTAGTTGCTTGAGGGTTTTATGGAGGGGGAGAGAAGATGTGGGCTTAAACCTTTCTTTGCTTAATGCTCTAGTCCCTACAGACAACACTAAATCCAGATATTTCACTGAAGTTTGGCAAAGATGGGCCTTGGACTTTGAAACTTTATATCCTCTTTTGGCTAAGAAATTTAGAAGAGCTTCAGTGCCTTTCTGAGAAGCTTCCTCAGTTGGGACACAGAGCAGAATGTCATCTAGATATTGCAAGACCCTGGCCTGAGGATGGGAGAACCTGTAGAGGTCCTTTGACAGTGCCTGTTCAAACAAGTGAGGATGGTATCAAAATCCCTGAGGCAGCACTGTTCATTTTAATTAGGTGATTTGGCCAGAAGGATCTTTGAAGGCAAACAGTTATTGAAAGTTAGGATGTAACAGTATGCAGAAAAAGGCATCCTTTAGATCTGGAACTGTGAACCATTTAGTTCCCTCAAATATTTGAGCTAGCAAGGTATAGGGATTAAGGACCACTGGATAAATTGGGACTATGGCCTCATTAATGAGGTAGAGGTACTGAACTAGTCTACATTCCCCATTGGGTTTTTTCAGTCCTAATATTGGGGTATTGCAGGGGCTGTTACAGGGTTTGAGAAGGCCCTGCATTTTCAGGTTACTAATAATGGCTTCTATTTTTTTCCTAGCCTCTGGCTTTAGGGGATATTTTGTCTGGTTAGGGAAAGAAGAGGAATCCTTAAAGTGGATCCAGATTGGCCTAGTGGTTATAGCATGACCTATTCTTCTTTGAGTTGCCTACACTTCTAGATTAATACTAGCTTCCACCAGGGAGAGAAAAAGAGTTTGTCCCATGGCTATAAGGATGCTGGCCCCCATGTGAGCTAAAGTGTCTCTACCTAATTAAGGAGTGGGGCTTTCAGGCATGATTAGTAAGGCATGTGTAAATAATAGGTTCCCCCAACTACAACTAATGGGTTGAGAAAAACATTGGGTTATAATCTTCCCTGAGACATCCATCAATGTCATGCAATGGGAAGAGGGAAGGCCTGGGTTAGAGAGAAGAGAGCGACTAGATCCAGTGTCCAGAAAGAGGTCCACCTCCTTCCTTCAATTTCTAGAATAATCTGGGTCCCCTGAGCAGTAATGGCAGTTTGAACCACTGGAGCTGGGGGTCTGAGTCTAGGGACCTGTCCGTCCTGTTGGACTATCTGTGAGATTATCTCTGAACCTGGTGACCTCTATCTTTGTAGGCAGTCTGACCTCCAGTAGTCCCTGCCACAGGTTGGAGAGGGTCGAGGTGGCTTCTTCTTGCTGCCTGAGCAATCTTTCTTAAAGTGCCCTGACTTGCCACACTGGTAGCAATTAGTGAATGCACCTTGGGGATCCTGTACTTTGCAAGCCCTCAAAGCAGCCATTAGAGCCTCTGTTTTTCTCTTGTGTTCCCTCTCTTTCTCTTGAGTCTCCCCTGTTTCCTATTATAAAAGACTGAGGTGGCCACTATCAGGAGGCTTTCCAAGTTCTATCCGGTCCTGTAGCCTGCTTCTGCAGTTTCATTCTAATATTTGGAGCTCCCTGTGTAATGAACTTGTTATTTAGTATTAGCTGTCCCTCCACTGAATCAGGGGATAAAGAGGTGTGTTTTGTTAGTGCCTCCCTCAGCCTTTCCATAAAAGCTGAGAGATTCTCATCTGGCATTTGGTCTGTCATGGACAGTTAGAGTAATTACAAGGTTTAGCCCTAGTTCTTCCTAGGCCCTCCAATATGCTCATTAAAAAGTGTTTCCTTTTCCGTTTACCTGTGGAGTCAGGGTTGTGAAGAAGTACTCTGTCTCTTCCTGTCGGAAATGATTGTTCCCCTATTTTGTCACCTTCCTTATTTTCACTTTTCCTTTTTGGTCTGCTATAGGAGACATATTGCTCATGTCTGAAATTCTCTGCTGTCTGCAGAACTGCCTGTTTTTCAGCAGCGGTTAGGGTTTGGCTTAGGAGCAGCATAACATTCCTCTATGTGAAGTCAAACACCTGAGTTAAATTTTGGAAAGCCTCTATACACCTATCAGGGTCATCAGAAGATTGACCTATGTCTCTATTTGCTTAGGTCCTGCAATGAGAAGGAAACTTGCACTCTAGTGACATCACTTCCATTGGGCATTTCCTGTAGGGATAAGAGTGAATCTGGGGGAATGGGGAGTTTTGGAGGTAGTAAAACTGGAGGAGCTGATGGTGCTGTTAAAGGGGGCCCCAAATAAGGAGGACAGGAAGGGCTGGGACACTCAATAAGTGCCTCAGATTGTTACCCCAGGAGTTATTTTTCTAGTTTGGGGGAATCAGTCCCTTTGGGCCTGCCTGATACGACTGCTAAAAGAGCTAGGTCGATTGTGCAATGCTTGCTAATGTCTGGATTGTCTCACAAGGCAAAGAAAGCCTGTACATAGGGGACCTCAAACCATTTGCCCTTCCATCTACAGAAAATATCTAATTGTTGGATAGCATTAAAATCATGGCTTCCCTCAGCTGGCCAGGTTGATTCGTGATGGTAAGATGGCCACATCCTTCTGCAAAAGAAAATGAGCTTTTCAAAGTATTGGGGGTAAAAGGAGTCCCAGTGCTTCAGAATGCACTCAAGGGGAGTGAAGGCCAAAGATGGTCTGTTACACACTTACAAAAGGAAGGGAGAAAAGGGTGCCCCTTTAGTTTCTTTCCTTTCCTTTGGAATGACTCTTGGTGTAGAGGAACACAGCAGGAGCATCCCCCAAACTGTTTTCCCTCCTTGGTTCCCTGGGTTCCAGCATCCACTAAAGGTGTCACCCATGTTTGCAGGCATAAACCTTAGCCTTGGATCTGGAGGAGCTAGTTCATATTGTAACAGTTGTAAAGTATACTCTGTTGAGCTCCATACTTTGCTATTATGGCCTGGACTAAAGCATTTATTCTTAGGCAGTGCCCCTGGTTAACATTCAGATATAAAATCCCCTTACTTGTTTAAATAACATTTTAATTGGAGGCAGAATAGGTGAATTAAAAGAACATAGGGACTGAATGGCAGTCTTCCTGCTGACGGAATAGTATTGAGATGAAAATTTTGTTTTAGAGGACATTTTTCTCCTTATTTTTGTAGACAGAGTTTTCCCATTCACAGAAGAGTCATAAGTCCTCTTCTCCAGTAGAGGGGTGAAAAGGGGAGGAGAATTGGGAAACTAGAGTGTTTCAGCAAAAGACTGACAAGGTGTCTCATGGAGAGGATTCATATTCTACTAGGTGGTGCTATAGACATTAAAATATCACCTGCTCTTCAGACAAGGGTAGAAAGTGATACATTCACTGGGTTGGGGGGTGGAGAGACCCTCTGTTCCTAGAAAATTACAAAAATGGCATTCCCTTGAACTGTATCCTTGGTTACTATGGCATTTGCTAATTTTGCTTAACAGGATTATGTCCCTGAGCTGTAAAAGTTTTTGCAGCATTGCATATAGAGAGGGGACAGGAGAAATGGTGGTCACAGAAAGAAAAGAATAAAAATTTTGATAGAAAATGCCTGGAGATCCTGTTGCCAATGCCCAATGGGCATTCAGAGGTTGGGGTAAGTCCAGAAGCCTTCAGGTAGCACCGGGGTGTAGCTCTAGCCAGGAACTGTCAGTTCCAGCCCAATGCAACAGCTAGGCTCTCCATGAAAAAGAAACCAGTTCAAAACCGAGCTGACATTCACAGCACCCTGAGGGCACGGGAGGATTTGCTAAGTTATACCCAGTAAGCCTGTCATCTGAGTCTTGAGAATGGTGGTCACCCTAAAGGTCTCTTAACTCACCATATGACACCCATTTCTTAGTTTGATTTTAAAATCGAGGGCAGAAGGCCTAGAAATGAAAGTAAAGAGTTGGGGTACACTCCTATACTCACCCTTCTGATCAATCTACCCTGGATCCCGAGCGAGCTCCCACAATGAAATGGCCTCATTGTCTGGGGTGATACCCAATGTTCATTGTCTCATGGCCACAGAGGACAAGGACAGAGACACATAAAGAGTGAGCTTGAGAGCGAAATTTTAGTAGGTGAAAGAAAGAGAATAACTATCTGCTGCAGAGATGGGTCCCAGAAAAACTGGTTGCTGGTCTTCCGTGAAATGCAGGGGGTTTTATAGATGAGCTGGTGAGGACATGGTGTCTGATTTACATAAGGCACAAAAAGCTGGTTAGACCAGGTGTGCCATTTGCATAGGGTGCAAACTTCTGGTAACCCCCACCCTAATCTTTTATTATGTAGGCAGGTTCTCTGCCTGTGCTGCACAATGTTACCCATTTCTTTGTTCCTGTACATGAGGTAACAAAAAAAGAAAGATGGAGCCTCCATGTTAGAAATGCATAGTCCCCAGGTAGACCTTTTCTGTCTTCACAGCTACCCCCATGTAATTTTCTAACCCCCATTCCCCCGTGAGCTTCTAACTTCCTTATTTAGGTTTGCAGCTCTATTTTTCAATCCTGTATCAGATTAACTATTATCAAAACGATAAAAGCTAACAAGTGTTGGCAAAGATGTAGAGAAAAGTAAACTCTTATACACTCTTTGTGGTATATATATATTTTTTTGTTTTCTGGAAAAATAACATGGGATTTCCTCAAAAATGACTACAGTTAACAATAATGTATTATATATTTCAAAATATCTGATAGAATTTTAGATGTTCATGCTACAAAGAAATGATAAATATTTGAGGTGATAGATATGCCAATTAGCTTAATTTTATGATCTCAGAACGCATACATGTATCAGATCATCACATTGTACCTCATAATATACACAATCATTATTTGTCAATTAAAAATAAAATACAGTCTGGGCGTGGTGGCTCATGCCTGTAATCGAAGCACTTTGGGAGGCCAAGGCAGGCGGATCACGAAGTCAGGAGATCAAGACTATCCTGGCTAACACGGTGAAACCCTGTCTCTACTAAAAATACAAAAATTAGTTGGGTGTAGTGGTACATGGCTGTAGTCTCAGTTACTTGGATGGCTGAAGCAGGAGAATGGCATGAACCTGGGAGGCAGAGGTTGCAGTGAGCTGAGATCGTGCCACTGCACTCCAGTCTGGGCAACAGAGTGAGACTCCATCTCAAAAAAAGAAAAAATAAAATACATAAAAATAAAATACAATTTTAAAAGGTTATTAATCAAAAGCAACAAGAAATGGGACAACATCAAACATTTCAGATGAGAATTTTATTTATTTAGGTGTCATATTATAATATTCAAATTGCCCAATTGACAACCAAAAAAATTAAGGCATGTAAAGACTTGAATTAATACATATGAGATTTTTATAATTGCACATATCAACAAAATTTATGAGTAAAGATAGCAATAAATAAAAAGAGACCTTAAAGAAGACTCATCTTTGAACTTTCTAGAAATATACTTAAAATCAGCTATTTTAAGTAGTTATTTATATACTGTAAATATGTTTTATAGGCAAAAAAGCAGTAATACATAAATAATTTAAAAATATGAGAACAACATCACTTGAACGGAGATGTAAATTATGAAAAGAAATCAAACACTTTAGTTCAAATTATAATAACTAAAATGATTATAGCAAGCAGAAGGAAAAATTAGAAGAAAGTTCAATTATGATTTTTTAGTCTAAGAAACAGAAAATTTATGAAGCAAAAGTAACAAAATTATTATGACACAACATTAACTTTACTGATATATACACAATGGGAGTCCCAGGAAAAATGGGAGAGTCAGATAAGTGAGGACCAATATTTGAAGTCATAATGGCCAAAAACATCACAAATTATATGAAATGTTTAAATCTACCCATCTAAGTATCTCAACAACCTCCAAGTACCATAAACTCAAAAGATCTAAACTGAGGCATATCATAAGCAACCTACTGAAAGACAAAAATTATTTTGAAAATAGAGAGAAGTGACTTACCAGATACACACACACACACACAAATCTTTGTATCTGGTCTTAAATAAGAATAACAGATTATTACTAATAATAAACCATGGAGGCTGGAAAGCAGTGGGATGGCATACTGAAAGGAAAAACAAAACTGTCAAATAAATTCTATAGTTTGCAAAGTATTCTTCAAAAATAAAAATATAAACAATGGGATATAAAGTATAAGAAAAAGCAAATGGAAATTCTAAAGCCAAAAACTGAATAACTAAATTTAAAAATTGAGCAAAAGAGTTCAGCAACATATTTTAACAGGGAAAGAAAATAAGTGGCAAACTTGAAGGTAGGAAAATTTAAACTATAAAGTCTGAAGAGTAGGAAAAAAAAAACGAGCACAACCTAAGGGAATTGTTGAAAAAAAGTAAAGCATGACAATAATAACAATATACACATTATGAGGATTCTAGAAGAAAGAGGAGACAGAAATATTATTTAAATAAATAATATCTCCAGAATTCCCAAATTTGATAAAGGATATGAAACTACAAATTCAAAAAACTCAACAAAAGAGTTAATGGGTGCAGCACACCAGCATGGCACATGTATACATATGTAACTAACCTGCACATTGTGCATATGTACCCTAAAACTTAAAGTATAATAATAATAAAATAAAAATAAATAAATAAATAAAAAATCCATGTAGTACAAACCCAAAGAAGCTCACACAAAGATATATAGTCAAACTGTTAAAAGGCACAGACAAGATGGCCTGTTGAAATCAGAAAGAAGTGACTTGCCTCATTTAAAAAAATCTTCAGCCAATTTCTCAAAACTTCAGAGAACAGACTGTTGTGGAATGATAAATTTAAAGTCTTAACAGGACAAAATGAACTGTCAAACAATATTCCAATATCAGGCAAAACTGTCCTTCAGAACAGAGGCTGAAATTAGAACATTCACATTCAAATCCAGAGACAGTTTGTGATCAATAGTCTTGTGCTGTAAGAAGTTTTCATGATATTTTTTAAGGTTGAAACGAAAGAAAGAGAGTAACTCAAAGTCACATGAAGATATAAAAATCACAAAGGTAAATACTTGGCCGAATATGAAAGCCAGTATTACTTTAATTTGCTTTGTAACTCCATTTTTTATTTTATACTATATTTAGAAAACAAATGCATAAAATAATTATAAAACTGTGTTAATGGGTACACAATATACATATAACTAACTCGTGATATCTATATCACAAATGTGTTGGTAGAAATGGCACTATGCAATAGTAGAGTTTCTTGTAAATGACTCAAATTAAGTTGTATACATCGAAATTAGTTTGTTTTAAACTTAGAATGTTACATGTAATCACTACGGTTACCACAAATGAAATATCTGTCTAATATTTATTAAAAAATGAGACTGCAATCAAATAAATAATTACCAAAAAATTAACTAGATGTAAAAAACAGCAGTAATAGAGGTAATTAAGAACCAAAAGACCGTAAAACACAATAAACACACATCTACATGGCAGAAATAAGTTATTTCCCATTGGTAATTACATTAATTAGTAGTGGATTCAGCTCTAAAATGAAAAGCCAGAGATTAGGAGAACGAATTAAAAATAGTATGATTCAACTATATGCTTCCTAGGAAAAGCTCACCATAGATCTAAAAGTGCAGATAGGTTAAAATTAAAAGATTGACAAAGCATATTTCAGACAATAGTAACAAAAAAATCTGGAGTGGCTATACAAATATCACCTAAAATAGGCTTTAAGTCAAAAACTGCTACAAGACACAAGAACACAAGAATGGCATTACACATTGATAAGAACATTAGAATATCAAGAAAATTTAACCATTAAAAACAAACACTAACCAAACAAGGCAACCTCTAAAATATAAAGCAAAAATTGACAGAACTGAAAAGAGAAACACACAGCCCTACAGTAAGAGTTGGAAACACTGACACCCACATTCAGTCATGGAAAAAGCATTCAGCTAAGAAACGAATACAAAAACAAATAAACTAAACTTACTATATAACTGTTAGACCTAACAGACACACACAAAAATACTCTACTCAGCAAAAACACAACACACATTTAAAAAAATGAAATGGAACATTCTATTTCATAGACCATATATTGGACTGAAAAATAAGTCATAATAAAATATATAAGATTAAAGTGATACAAAGTTTGTTTTCCAATTATTCTAGGATGAAACTAGAAATCAATAGTAGAAGAAAAACTAGAAAGTTCACAAATATGTGGAAATTAAACAACACACTCTAGAAGAATCAAATTATAAAATAAAAATTAGCATGGATACAAGAAACACCTTAAATCAAATGAAAACAAAAATACAACAAAATAAAATGAATATGTTGTAGTAAAAACAGTACTAAGAAAAAAATTTATAACTGCAATGAATACATTACATTAAAGATTGCACATCAGTAACCTAAGTTTGCACCTTAAGAAACTATGTAAGCAAGATAAAAAACTAAGCCCAAAGCTTGAAAAAAGAAGAAGACAGTAAAGATTCAAAGCACACATAATGAAAAAGAATTTAAAATAGAAAAAATTAGCAGAACTAAGAGTTGGTTATTTGAAATTATCAATAAAACTGGAAAATCTTTACCTAGTTGATCAACAGAATAAGAAAGACGACTCCAGTAGCCACAATAAAAAATAAAAGTGGGCCATTACCAATGATATTAAAGGATTTAACACAGTTATATTAAAGTACTATAAAATATTTTATGCCAACTAATGGGATTGTCTAGATTACATTGAAAATGTCTTAGAAATACAGAGCCTACCTAGACTCATTAATACAAATAAAAATATAAGTATCCGCAGCTAGCTAAGAGATTGAATCAATAATGAAAACCTCCAAACAAAAGCTCTCAACCAAATTACTTAACTGGTGAAATCTACCAAGCATTAAAGAAGAATGACCAGAAATACTTTAAAAATTATCCAAAATACTGAAAGAGTAAACACTTTGTAACATAATCTATAAGGTCATCGTCATTCTGATACTAAATACAGAGAAAGACACTGCAAGAAAATAAAAAAGGCTGATATCCCTTATTAATACTAATGCAAGCAACCTCAACAAAATAGTAGCAGACTGAATTTAGCAGCATATTATGAGGATTATACATCTGACCAAATGTAATTGATTCAAGGAGTAAAAAGAAGTTTAACAAATATCACTTAATACAATACACATTATTAGCAAATAGAGGGAAAACATTATTATCTTGAATAATGCTTGAGAACATTGAACAAAAAGCAAGAAGTTTTATAACAAGAAGCAACAAACTAGGAATAGGAAACTACCTTAATATAAAAAAGGTCATGTATAAAAGCCCCACAGCTAACCTCATACTCAATAATAAAGGACTAAAAGGTATTTTCCTAAGATCAGGAATAAGACAAGGACTCCCTCTTTCACTACCTTTATTCAATATGATAGTCAAGTCTTAGCCAAAACAATTATAAATAAAAATAAATGTCATCCAAATTAAAAAGTAAGATGAAAAATTACTACTGTTAATAGATGACATAATATTTTATGTAAAAAATTTTCAAAGACTCCTCAAATGAAAATTTTGAAAACTAATAAAGAAATTTAGCAAAAATTTGCAATACAAAATCAACAGACAAACATCTGTTGCATTCTATACACTAGCAAAATAAATTAAATGAATAAATTCCATTTACCATATTGATGAGGTCAACAATAAAATACTTGGATATAAATTTAACACAGGAGTCAACAGACTTGTAAACTAAGAAGTACAAAATACTGTTGCAAAAAATTTAAAAAGACAAAAATAAATGGAAAGATATTCCACTTTGATGAATTAAAAGACTTAATATTGTTAATATATTAATAGTACCCAAATGTAACTACAAAGTCAATGTAATTCCTATCAAAATTCCAATGACTTTTTTAGCAAAAATAAAAAAAAAACTATTTCTAAAATTTGTAAGAGAACTTAAGGCACTTCAAATAGCCAACAAACCATTTAAAAAGAAGAATGAAGTTGGAAAACTTTCACTTCCTGATTTTAAAACTTACTAAAAATATACATTCTTCATGATAGTGTGGTAGTAGAATAAAGACAGACAATATTGACCAATGACAGAATAGAGAGCTCAGAAATAAAACGCCAAATATGTAAATAATTTTTAGTTTCAAGACCATTTGATGGAAAATGTATAGTCTTAAGAAAGTATGCTTAGAAGGCAGAGCAAGATGGCCAAAAGAAAGTTCCACCAATCATCCCTCCCACAAGAACAAAAAATTTTACACCAATGTAAACAAAAAAATGCACTTTCATAAAAAACAAAAATCAGATGATTACTCACACTACTTGCTTTTAACTAAAAGAGGCACTGAGGATAATAGGAAAGATAATCTCAAATTACTGATGCTACCCCTTCCCCATCACCCAGCAGTGACCATGTGGCATGGAGAGAGAATCCGTGCACTTGGAAGAGAACTAATGCAGCAATTGTGAGACAATGCATAGAACTCAGTGCTTCCCTGACACAAGAGAAAGTAAAACTGGGCTGAATTCAGGTGATTTTCACCCATGGAGGAAGTATTTAAACTACCTCTAGCAAGAAGGAAATTGCCCATTCCAGTGGTGAGTAATTGAGTTTTCACAAGCCTTGCTATCCCAACCTAAGGTGCTCTGGGGCCCTAAGTAAACTTGAAAGGCAGTCAAAGCCACAAAAGCTGAAACTGAGAGGCAAGTTCTAGTGTAGAACTGGGCTTAGAGCCAGTGGACCAGGGTGGAATGTGACCTAGGGAGACACCAGCCATGTCAATTAAGCAAGTGCTTGCACCACTCCTCCCCCGACCCCATGCAGCAAAGCTCACAGCAATAGAAGTGACTCATCTCTTCTATGTGAGGAGAGGAAAGAGTAAAGAGGACTTTGTTGCATCTTGAATACCAGCTCAGCCACAGTAGGATAGGGCACTGGCCAAAGGTATAAGGCCTCTTTTTCAGGCCCTAGCTTCCACATGACATTTGTAGACATACCCTGGACAAAAAAGGAATCTGCTGCATTAAAAGGAAGGACATGGATCTGGCAGGACCCATCACCTGCTGACTAAAGAGCCATTGAGCTCTGAATAACAAGCAGTGATACCCAGGTAATATGCTTCCTGGATTCAGGTGAGATTCAACACATTACCACCTGTGGTGGATATGAGGAAAGATTCTTTCTGCTTCAGAAAAGTGGAGGGAAAAGTAAAGGGGACTTTGCCTTTCACCTTAGGTACCAGCTTGGCCACCGAAGGGTACAAATAGACACTTGGAGTCTCTGATTCTAGGCCTTGGCTGCTGGACAGACTCTTTGGATCTGCTCTGGGTCAGAGTGGAGCCCACTGCACTAAAGGGTAAATTGTAGGCCAGGCAGCATTCACCAGCTGACTGAGGAACCCTAGAGCCGTAAGGAAACATCAGCGGTAGACTGGTAGTATTCTCCATGAGCCTGTGGTGGTGGTGGTCACAGAGTAAGACTCCTCTGCCTGTGGAAATGGAAGGAAAGAGTGAGAAGAAATGCTTCTTGTGGTTTGAGTGCCAGCTCAGCCAGAAAACAAAATAATATCACATAGACTTATTAAATTTTGCCTCAAGTCTATGCTTTCATATTACACCTCTGGATCTGCCGGGAGCCTGGTGGATCTCACCTACCCTAAAGGGAAAGAAACAAGCCTGCCTGGCTTCTAAATGCCCTGATCACAGAACACTAGGGCCCTGAGTGAACACAGGTGATAGTCAGGCAGTGGTTACAGCAGGCCTTGGGAAAGACCCAGTGCTGTGCTGGTTTCAGATCTTACCCAATGCAGTTCCAGTTTGGTGGCCAAAAGGGTGCTTGTTTCTCCTCACCCTCAACTTCAGGTGAATCAGAACAGAGAGAAATACTTAATTTGAGGCGGGGATGGGCAGGGGAGAAAAAAGAAGAGAGCAGGGTTCTCTGCCTGGTAATCCAGATAATTATTCAAAATTTTATGCAAGATCATCAAGGTTGTATTTCTATGAGTCTGCAAGAACCACAGTGTTATTGGGTTGGAGTGCACTTTAATGAGAATATGGCTTGGATAACAACACCACGGTTTCGTCAAATACCTAGAAACTCTTCCAAGAAGAACAGATAAAAACAAGCCTAGACTGTGAAGAACACAAAAAATACCTAACACTTTTATGACCAGAGAGAGATGAACATTCACAAGTATCAAGACTATCCAGGCAAACATGACCTCACCAAATGAAATAAATAAGGTACCAGGGGCTAATCCTGGAGAAAAAAGAGATATGTGACTTTTTAGTAAGAGAATTCAAAACAGCTATGTTGAGGAAACTCAAATACAAGAAAACATAGAGAAGGAATTTAGAATCTAGCAGATACAATCAACAAAGAGATTAAAATAATTTTAAAAATCAACCAGAAATTCTGGAGCTGAAAAATGCAATTGGCATACAGGAGAATGAATCAGAGTCCTTTAATAGCAGAATTGGTCAAGCAGAAGAAAGAGTTAGTGAGCTTGAAGACAGGCTACATGGAATACATGGCCAGAGGAGACAAATAAAAAAAGTAAAACAACAACAACAACAACAAAAACAAAGAAGCACACCTATGGGATCTAGAAAACGGCCTCAAAAGGGCAAATCTAAGAGTTATTGGTTTTAAAGAAGAGGTAGACAAATAGGGGCAGAAAGTATACACAAAGGGATAATATCAGAGAATTTCCAAAAGGTAGTGAAAGATAATAACATTCAAGTACAAGAAGGTTACAGAAGAAAAAGAAGATTTAATCCAAAGAATAATAGCTCAAGGCATGTAATAATCAAACTCCTAAATGTCAAAAATAAGAAAAGCGTCCTAAGCATCAAAAGAAAAGAAACAAATAACAAGCAATGGAAGTCCAATACACCTGGCAGCAGTTTTTCTAGTGAAAATTTTAGGCCAAAAGAGAGTGGCATGACATATTTAAAATGATGAAGGAAAAACTTTTAAGTTATAATAGTATATTCAGTGAAAATATCTTTCAAACCTGAGTAAGAAACAAAAGTTTTATCAAACAAACAAAAGCTGAGAGATTTCTCAAACACCAGTCATGTTCTTCAGGAAATGTTAAAGGGAATACTTCAATCAGAAAGAAAAAGACATTAATAAGCAAAAAGAAATCATATGAAGGTACAAAGCTCCCTGGTAGTATTAAGTACACAGAAAATCACAGAATGCTATAACACTGTAACTGTGGCGTGTAAACATGAAACCAAAAAACATACAACAGGTATACAAAAAATAAAAAGGGAATAGAAAATCATTTCACCAAAGAAAATCATCTTCATGAACAGGAAGACAGGAAAGAGAAAAGGAAGAGAAGACCATAAAACAACCATAAAATATACAGCAAAATGCAGAAGTAAGTCTTTACTTATAAATAATAACATTGAATGTAAATGAACTAAACTGTCCAACCAAAAGACACAGTATGGCTAAAGGGATTTTTAAAAAAGCACACCCAGTGATTTGTTGCCTATTAAGAAACACACTTCACCTATAAAGACACATATAGACTGAAAATAAAGGGATGGAAAAAGAGATTCCATGCCAAGGGAAACCAAAAAAGAGCAGGAGTAGTTATATGTATATCAGCAAAGGTAGATTTCAAGACCAAAAGTATAAGAAGAGAAAAAGAAGGTCACTGTATAATGATAAAGGAGTCAATTCCACAAGAGGATATAGCAATTTAAAATATACATGCACTTAACTCTGGAGCACCTGGATATATAAAGCAAAATTATTATTGCTAAAGAGAGAGATAGGCCCCAATATAATAATAGAAAATATACCAAGAAACATCAGGCTTAATCTGCACTATGGATCAAAAAAACTAATAGAAATTTATATAGCGTTTCATTCAAAGATTTTAGAATACATATTCTTTTATTCAACACATGGATTCTTCCCAAGGAAAGACCATATGTTAGGTCACAAGATAAGTTTTAAAACATTCAAAAAAATAAAATAATATCAAGCATTTTCTCTGATGACAATAGAATTAAACTAGAAATAAACAAATGGAATTTTGATAAGTACAGAAATACATGGAAATTAAACAATATGCACTTCAATGACCAATGGGTCAATGAAGAAATTAATAAAAAATTTGAACATTTTCTAGAAACAAATGATAGTGGAAACAAAATATACCCAAACCTATGAGATATATCAAAAGCAGTACTAATATGGAAGTCTATAACTGTAAACATCTACATCAAAAAAGAAGAAAAATTTCAAATAAATGACATAAGAATTTAAAGTAAGGAACTAGAAAATCAAAAACAAATCAAGCCAAAAATTGGTAGAAGAGAAGGAATAATAAATGTAAGAATATAAATAAATAAAATTAAAATGAAGACATTACAAACAATCAAGGAAACAAAAAGTTGATTTTGGAAATAATAAAAAAATTGGCAAACCTTTAGTCAGGCTAACTAAAAAAAGAGAGAGAAGATAAAAAATAAATAAATAAAATCAGAGATGAAAAAGGAGACATTACATCTGATAATGCAGAAATACAAAGGATCATTAGGGGCTACTATGAGCAAATATATGCCAATAATTTGAAAAAAAAGAGAAATTGGATACGGTCCTAGAAACATACAAGCTAATAATATTAAACCAGGAAGAATTCCAAAATCTAAACAGACCAGTAATACTTAACATGTTCTAAGCCTTAATAAAAAGCCTGAGACCTGATGACTTCTGTGCTGAATGTTACCAAACATTCAAAGAAGAATGATTACCAATTCTACTCAAATTATTCTGAAAAATAGAAGAGTAAGGAATATGAAGTCAGTATTATCCTGGTACAAAAACCAGACACAAACATATTACAAAAAGAAAACTGCAAGCCGGTATCTTTGATGAACATTTATGCAAATTTTTCAACATTATATTAGCAAACTAAATTTATTGACACATTAAAAAAATCATTCATCATGACCAAGTGGGATTTATCCCAGGAATGCAAGGATGGTTCAACTTACTCAATTCAATAAATGTGATACATTATATCAACAGAATGAAATAAAAAATCATATAAACATTTCAATTGGTCTTGAAAAAGCACTTGATAAAATTCAACATTCCTTCATAAGAAAAACCAGAAAAAAACTAGATGTATAACGAATATATTTCAAAATAATAAAAGTCATATACATTAGACACATAGCAAGTATTATACTGAATGGAGAAAACCAGAAAGCCTATCCTCTAAGATGAGTAACATAACAAGGATGCTCACTTTCAACACTGTTATTCAATATAGTACTGGAAGTCCAAGCTAGATCAATCAGGCCAGAGAATAAAATAAAGGGCAACTAAATTGAAAAGGAAGAAGTTGATTTATCCTTGTTTGCAAATTATATACTCTTATATTTTGCAAAATCTAAAGACTCCACCAAAAAAAAAAAAACTATTAGAAATGACAAACAAATTCGGTAAAGTTGCAGGCTACAAAATTAAGATACAAAAATTGGTAGCATTTCTATATGCCAAGAGCAAACAATCTGAGAAAGAAATATAAAATGTAATTGCATTTACAATAGCCACAAATAAAATTAAATACCTAGAATTTAACTTAACCAAAGAAGGGAAGGATCTCTGCAATTAAAACTATACATAATTGATGCAAGTAATTGAATAGCACATGAAAATTGGAAACATATTCTGTTTATAGGTTTGAAGCATTGATACTGATGAAATATTCATACTACCCAAAGCAATCTAAAGATTCAATGAAAATAAAAATCCTATCAAAACACCAATGACATTTTTCTCAGAAACAGACAAAAAAGACTAAGATTTATATAGAAGAACAAAAGACCCAGAATAATCAAGCTATTTTAAGCAAAAAGGACAAAACTAGAGAAATCATATTAATGGACTTCAAATTATGCTACAGAGCTCTAGTAAACTGAATGACAAGCTACTGGCATTAAAACAGACACATAAATCAGTGGAACAGAATAGAGAACCCAGAGATAAAGGCATACATCTACAGTGAACTCACTGTTGACAAAGGTGCCAATAACATACATCAAGGAAAGAATTACCCCTATCTCTCTACCTAAAAAAATCAAATAAAAATGGCTTAAGAATTAAATATAAGACCTCGAACTATGAAAGTACTGCAAGAAAATATTGGGAAAACTCTCAAGGACATTGGAATGGGCAAAAATTTATTGAGTAACACTCCATAAGCGAAGGCACCTAAAGCAAAAATGGACAGATGAGATCACATCAAGTTAAGCTTCTGCACAGTAAAGGATACAATCAGCAAAGTGAAGAGACCACACACAGAGTGGGACAAAATACTTGTAACCTACCCATTGGAAAAGGGTTTAATAACCAGAATATATAAGGAGCTCAAACAATCCTATAGGAAAAAATACAACAATCTGACATAAAAATTAGGCAAAAGATTTGACTAGACATTTCTCAAAAAAAGACATAAAAACGTCAAACAGACATAAAAAGGCACTGAACATCAATGATCATCATAGAAATGCAAATTAAAGCTACAATGAGATATCATATCACCAGTTGAAGTGTCTTTTAGTCAAAAGGCAGGTGACAACAAAGGCTGGCATGGATGTGGAGAAAAAAGAACCCTTGTACACTGTTGTTGGGAATATAAAGTAGTACAACCAATATGGAGAACAATTTGTAGGTTCCTCAAGATACTAAAAATAAAGCTTCCATATGATCCAGCAATCCTACTGCCTGATATATACACAAAAGAAAATAGACCAGGGTATTGAAAAGATATCTGAAGTTCCATGTTTGTTGCAATGCTGTCCACAATAACCAACATTTGGAAGTAACGTGTTTATTAACAGATGAATGGATAAATAAAATGTGGTACATGTACACAATGGAGTACTATTCAGCCATGTTTGCAACAACATGGATGGCACTGGAGTTTATTATGTTAATTAAAACAAGCAAAGCACAGAAAGACACATTTCACATGTTCTCACTTATATGTGAGAACTAAAAATTAAAACAATTGAACTCATGGACATAGAGAGTAGAAAGGTGGTTACCACAGGCTGGGAAGGTTAATAAGGGAGTAGGGGGAAGTGAGGATGGTTAATGCATACAAAAATAATACTTGGATATAAGAAGACCTACCATTGGATAGCACAACAGGGTGACTATAGTAAAAAATAATGTAATTGTACACTTAAAATATTTAAAATACAATAACTGGATTACTTTTAACTTGAAGGATAAATGCTTGAAGTGACAGATACCTTATTTACCATGAAGTGATTATTACTGCTTGCATGCCTGTATCAAAATATCTCATGTATCTTATAAATATACACACCTACTATGTACCCTAAAATTAGGAAATAAAATAAAATTCTTAGAATCTGAAAGAGAAAATATGCTTAGCAAACTTAATATTCAAAATGGAAAATACAATGTTGAACCCTTCACTTATGCTGTATACAAACATTAAAATAAATCAAATACCTAAATGTAAGAACTAAAATACAAAGTCTTTTGAATAAGTTATAGGGGAGAGCTTCATGCTATTGAATTTAAAAAAGATTACTTGTATATGACACAAAGATAACTGGCATAAAAGAAAAAAATATGACAGATTTCATTGAATTTCAAAACTTTTGATAATTAAAGGACAGTAAAGAATGTGAAAATGCAATCCACAGAATGTGAGAAAATGTTTTCAAATCATATATCTGATAAAGTATCGGGGGAACCAGCCCCCAGTTTTTCAACGTAGGTTCTTTTCTATTTTCCCTAAGTGTTGGCTGGTCTGAGAAATAAAGAGAAAGAGTACAAAAGAGAGAAATTTTACAGCTGGGTCTCTGGGGGCGACATCACATGTTAGCAGTTTCCGTGATGCCCCTGAGCTGCAAAACCAGCAAATTTTTATTAGCGATTTTCAAAGGGGAGGGAGTGCACGAATAGGGTGTGGGTCACAGAGATCACATGCTTCAAAGGCAATAAAAATCACAAGGCAAATGGGGGCAGAGCAAGATCACAAGGCCAGGGCAAAATTAGAATTACTAATGAGGTTCCATGTCCTGCTGTGCAAGCATTGTCATTGATAAACATCTTAACAGGAAACAGGGTTCAAGAGCAGAGAACTAATCTGACTAGAATTCACCAGGCTGGAATTTCCTAATCCTAGCAAGCCTGAGGATGCTGCAGGAGACCAGGGCGTATTTCATCTCTTATCTACAACTGCATAAGACAGACACTCCCAGAGCGGCCATTTTAGAGGCCTCCCCCTGGGAATGCATTCTTTTCCCAGGGCTGTTCCTTGCTGAGAAAAAGAATTCAGTGATATTTCTCCTATTTGCTTTTGCAAGAAGAGAAATATGACTCTGTTCTGCCTGGCCCCACATGCAGTCAGGCCTTATGGTTATCTGCCTTGTTCCCTGAAAATCACTGTTATCCTGTTCTTTTAGGATGCCCAGATTTCATATTGTTCTAACACACATGTTATACAAACAATTTGTACAGATAACGCAATCATCACAGGGTCCTGAGGCAACATACATCCTCAGCTTACAAAGATGATGGGATTAAGAGATTAACGTAATGGTTGAACTAGTTTACAGTCCCACCAACAGTGTAAAAGTGTTCCTATTTCTCCACATCCTCTCCAGCACCTGTTGTTTCCTGACTTTTTAATGATCGCCATTCTAACTGGTGTGAGATGCTATCTCATTGTGGTTTTGATTTGCATTTCTCTGAATGGCCAGTGATGATGAGCATTTTTTCATGTGCTTTTTAGCTGCATAAGTGTCTTCTTTTGAGAAGTGTCTGTTCATATCCTTTGCCCACTTTTTGATGGGGTTGTTTGTTTTTTTCTTGTAAATTTGTTTGGAAGTCAGTGTGGTGATTCCTCAGGGATCTAGAACTAGAAATACCATTTGACCCAGCCATCCCATTACTGGGTATATATCCAAAGGATTATAAATCATGCTGCTAGAAAGACACATGCACATGTATGTTTATTGCGGCACTATTCACAATAGCAAAGACCTGGAACCAACCCAAATGTCCAACAACAATAGACTGGATTAAGAAAATGTGGCACATATACACCATGGAATACTATGCAGCCATAAAAAATGATTTGTTCATGTCCTTTGTAGGGACATGGATGAAACTGGAAACCATCATTCTCAGCAAACTATCGCAAGGACAAAAAACCAAACACCGCATGTTCTCACTCATAGGTGGGAATTGAACAATGAGAACACTTGGACACAGGAAGGGGAACATCACACACCGGGGACTGTTGTGGGGTGGGGGGAGGGGGGAGGGATAGCATTAGGAGATATACCTAATGTTAAATGACGAGTTAATGGGTGTAGCACACCAACATGACACATGTATACATATGTAACAAACCTGCACATTGTGCACATGTACCCTAAAACTTAAAGTGTAATAATAATAAAATTAAAAAAAAGAAATCATCAGTATACACTTATATTCATTAAATAAAGAGATTAACATAAAGACAGGCATAGGAAATTATGAGTATTGATTGGGGGAGTGATAAATGTCCATGAAATCTTCACAATTTATGTTCAGTGATTGCAGTAAAAACAGGCATAAGAAATTATAAAAGTATTAACTTGGGGAACTAACAAATGTCCATGAAGTCTTCACAATTTATGTTCTTCTGCCGTGGCTTCAGCCAGTCCTTCTGTTTGGCGTCCCTGACTTCCCACAACAATAAAGGATTAGTATGAAACATGAAAATAATTTTAACAATTCTACAACAAAATAAACCAAATAACCCAATTTAAAGATGGGCAAAGTAGTTGAATTGACATCTCTCCAATAAAAATATACAGATGACCATTAGTCACATAAAAATATGGCTAATATTTCTTCTCATTAGGAAAATGTAAATAAAAAAGACAATGAGATTTTTTTTGTCTTTCTGAGATGGAGTCCCACTCTGTCACCTAGGCTGGTGTGCTGTGGCATGATCTTGGCTCATTGCATCCTCTGCCTCCTGGGTTCACGTGATTCTCCTGCCTCAGCCTACTGAGTAGCTGGGATTACAGGCACACACCACCACACCTGGCTAATTTTTGTATTTTTGCTACAGAAGGAGTCTCAAACTCCTGACCTCAAGTGATACACCCACATTGGCCTCCCAAAGTGCTGAGATTACAGGCGTGAGCCACTGCACCCACCCAAGACAATGAGATTATATCTCACACCCATTAGAATAGCTATTATTAAAAAACAGAAATAACAAGTGTTGGAGAGGATGTGGAGAAATTGCAATCATTGTCTATTTCCAGTCAAAATGTAAAATGATATAATCACTGTAAAAATACTATGGGGTCCCTCATACCCCTATACTATTTTTAAAAAGTTAAACTTAGAACACCATATTATCCAGCTATTCAATTGCTTAGTTGTATATCTAAAATTATTAACAACAGGAAGTGAAACAGATATTTGTGCACCAATGTTCACCACAACAATATGTATATCTTACAGGTGATAACTACCCAAATGTCCATTGATGATGTAAATGGATAAACAACGTAGGACACATTTATATGGTATAATATTATTCAGTCTTAACAAAAATTCTGACATCTGCTGCAATATAGATGAAACTTGAAAATATATTAAGTAAAATAAGCCAGATGAAACAGTGCAATATTACATTATTTCGCTTGTATGAGGTACTTAGAATAGATATATTTATAATGAGAGAAACTATAACAGTGGTTGTCAAGGGCTAAATGGTGGGTAGAAAGAGGAGTTATTGTTTAGTAGGTATGCAGTTTCATTCAAAAACAAAAATGTCCTGGATACTAATAATAGTAATATTTGTACAATATTGTGAATGTATTTCGTGCCACTGAATTGTGCATTGAAAAATGTTTAAGATGATGAATTAAAAAAAATTCTGCCACAATAAAAAATACAAAAAAAACAGTAAAGGGTAAGTCTGAAAGAAAATGTGAAAATATTATAAACTTAAAATACAACATGGCAAAATTCATCAGATGCTGTCAACATAGTGCTTAAAGAAAAACTTAAAGCATTTAATGTTTATATTAACAATGTGGGGTGCCTGAGAATTGGCCAGCTCAGCCTTCCAGTGCCTACACGCCTTATAAGGGGTCTTGGAAATTGACCTGCTCTGCACAACCCTGCTGACATCTGTATGCTCTTCCCAGTGGCTTGAGGATGGGCTCATCCAGACAGCCAGTGACACCACCTCCAGCACCCACCAACATGTGCCATCTAGGAGTCTGGGGACTTACTCAGACAACCCACTGCTTCCACCATTGCTACATATGCCTGCTTCCTGGGGTTATGAGGCTTGGCTCCTAACCACTACTGCCATTGCTGATGCCACACATGTTTCCCAGGGGTTCTGGGACCCACAAACCTGCCCAGCCCACTGCTGCCACAACCAGAGCACAAGATAGCCCCCTGGAGGGTCAAAAACTAGTTTGCTCAGATCTGCTACCATTGGTGCAAGTGTATACCACCTGTTGCCCCAAGGACCTGTATCCTCAGCCCTGCCTCCACCACAACTGAAGCCCAAAACTTGGCTCACCTGTCAGGTCTGTCCACAACAAAGCCTCACCATAGTCGCTAATAATACACACAGCCTAAGCTACTGAAAAAATCGCAGACATCATTGTCACTAATTACAGCTCAACAAATTATATGCAGAATACACTACTGCAGTCAACCAGAATCAAACCCAAAGTATCTCATCCAGCCAACATTATAGATACATCAATAGAAAAAGTCTTACCAGCCGAGTTGGGTGGCTCATGCCTGTAATTCCAGCACTTTGGGAGGACCAAGGAAGCTGTATTGCCTGAGCTCAGGAGTTCAAGACCAGCCTGGGAAACCACGTCTCTACTAAAATTACAAAACATTAGCCAGATGTGGTAGCCTGCACCTTTGGTCCCAGCTACTTGGGAGGCTGAGGTGAAAGAATCACTTGAGCCTGGGAGACGGAGGCTGCAGTGAGCCGAGATCATGCCACCGCACTCCAGCTTACGTGACAGAGTGAGACTCCATCTCATTAAAAATAAAAAAATGAAAGAAAGAAATACGCCTTATCGGAAAAAACCCAACCAATAAAATTTAGAGAAGCAACTGTTACACCAGATATGCGAATATAAACGTAAGGGCACCAGAAAAACTGAAAAGCAAGGAAACATGACATCTCTAAAGAAACATAAAAATTCTCCAGCAACAGATTCCATTAAAAAATTACAAAAACCCACAGAAATAGTTCAAAATAATATTAAAGAATTTCAGCAAGACATAAAGCAACACAGATAAACTATACAAATGAATAAAGAAATAATCAAAATGAGACTTTTAACAAAGATATTACAAATAAGAACCACACAGAAATTGTAGAACTAAACAAGTCAATGAATAAAATTAAAAATACAATTAAGAGCTTCAAGAATAAAATAGATTGAGCTGAGCAAAAATAAAATTAAACTTGAAACAGGATTTTTGAATTAACTCAGGAAGGCAAAAAGAAAAAAAAAGAATAAAAAATAAATAAAGCCTATGAGACATCATGAAGTGATCAAATACTTGAATTGTATAAAAGCTACCAAAGCATATGATACCCATTAAACTTCTCTTCAAAAATAAAGAAGAAATAAAGTTTTTCCCAGACAAATAAAAACTCAGGAAATTTATCACCACTAGACTGGCTCTACAAGAAATGTTTAAGAGAGTTGTACTTCTGGAAGCAAAACAATGTCTATCATCAGGAAAAAGCACAAAACTAAGAAACTTTCAGGAAGAGAAGAGGTGCAAATTAGAAAGAGAAAGAACTCAAATATCACTACAGAAAGCCACAAAATTGCAACAATAATCAAAAAGAAAGGATCTGACAAGAATATAGAAAACAACCAGAAATTTAAAAAAATGACAGGAATATGTTCTCACCTATTAATAATAACCTTGGATGTAAATGGATTAAATTGTCCACTTAAATGTTATAGACTGGCTGAATGGATAAAGAAAAGGGACTCAACTATAAACTATCATCTACAAGAAGCTTACTTCACCTATAGAAACACACATAGACAGGCTAGGCACACTGGCTTATACTGTAATTCCAGTAGTTTTGTAGGCATAGATGGAAGGATCACTTGAGTCCAGGATTTCAAGACCAGCCTGGGCAAAATAGGGAGAGCCTCTCTTTACAAAAAAAAAAAAAAAAAAAAAAAAAAAAGCCAAGCATGGTGTCACATGACTGTAATCCCAGCTATTCAGGAAGCTGAGGTGGGAGTATTGCTTGAGCCTGGGAGTTCAAGGCTGCCTTCAGCCATGATTGTGCTACTGCAATCCAGGCCAGGTGACAGAGCAAACTCTTGTCTCAAAAGAATATATATATACACACACATATATATATACATATATATATGTATGCATATAGACAGAAATGAATGTAATATAAAAGACCTCCACACAAATGGAAAGCAAAATTGAGCAGGATTCTCTATACTTATACAAGATAAAATAACTTTAACTCAAAAACAATAAAAAAGACAAAGAGTGTCATTATATAATAACAAATTCAGCATGAAGGTATAACTTAACAAATCTAAATATGCACCCAACAATGAAGCAGCCAGATATGTCAAGCAAATATTATTAGATCTAAAGGGAGAGATTGAGTCCCACACAATGATAATTGGGGACTCCAGCACCGCACTTTCAGCATTACACAAATTATATAGGCAGTAAATCAACAAATAAACATTGGATTTAAACTGTACTTTAGATTAAATGGATCTAACAGACCTTTATAGAACATTTTATCCAACAGTTGCAGAATGAACATTCTTCTTATCAGCAAAGGACAAATTCTCCAGGAAAGACCATATGTTAAGACACAAATTAAGACTTAAAAAAATTTTAAAAATCAAAATTATATCAAGCATCTAATCTGACTGCAATGGAATAAGACTAGAAATCAATAACATGAAGAACTTTGGAAACTGTACAAAAACAAGGAAATGAAACAACATGCTCCTGACCAGCCATTGATCAAAAAACTATTTAAATAGGAAATAATATATTTTTGAAACTAATGAAAATGGAAACACAATAATACCAAAACCTATAAAATTCAGCAAAATCAGTGCTAAGAGGGACATTTATAGAAAAAAATAACCTTACATCAAAACAGGACAAAGATTTCAAATAAACAATCTATCATTTTACTTTAAGGAACTAGAAAATCAAGAACAATACATATAAAGTAGTAGAAGAAAAGAAGCAATAAAAATTAGAAAAGGACTAAACAAGATATAAATAAAAATGACAAATACTCAGCAAAAGGAAAAGTCATTTTTAAAAAACTGAGCAATATTGATAAACTGTTTGCTAGACAACTCAAGAGAAAAAGAGAGAAAACCCAAATAAATAAAACCATAATCAAAAAGGACACATTGCAACTAATACTACAGAAATATGAAGGATCATCAGAGACTATAATGAATAACTATATGCTAACCATTTAGAAAACCTAGAAAAATGTATAAATTTCTGAATGCATACTACCTAACAAGATTGAATCAGAAAAAAATAGAAAAGTATAACAGATCAACAGTAAGTAATCAGACTGAATCTGTAAAACATATCTCCCAATAAAGAAAGGTATAGGACTAGATGGCTTTACAGCTAAATTTTACCAAACTTACAATGAAGAATGACACTAATTATTCTCAAATTATTCCCAAAAATGTTAAGAGAAAGGGATTATTTCTAGGTCATTTTATGCAGAGAACATTACCCTGATACCAAAAGCAGACGAGGACAAAATGACCAAACAAACAATAAAACACTGCAGGCAAATATTCCTGATGAACATATACACTAACATTCTTACCAAAATACAATGGATTATAGTATAGAGAGGACGTACACATGGGATTTCAGAATGAGTCAACATATACAAATAAAAAAATGTGATATATCACATCAACAGAATAAAGGACAAAAACAATATGAACATCTCAATAACTTCAGAAAAAGCATTTGATAAAATTCTACATCCCTTCATGATAAAAACTATCAACAAAATAAGCATAGAAAGAACATACATAAACATAATAAAGGCCATATATGAATAACCCATAGCTACCATCATTCTGAATGGGGAAAAGCTGAAAATCTTTCCTCTAAAAACTAGAACAAGACAAGTATTTCCACACTCACCACTCTTGTTCAAAATAATACTGCGATTCCTAGTGAGAGTAATCAGGCAAGATAAGAAAATAAAAGCATTCAAATTGTAAAATAGAAAATAGAAAGTCAAACTGTCCCTCTTTGCAGATGGTGGGGTCTATATATAGAAAAACCTAAAGCCTCTACCAAAATACACTTACAACCGATAAATTCCTTCAGTAAAGTTGCAAGATACAAAATCAATACACAAAATTTAGTAGCATTTCTATAAAACAATAATAAACTAGCTAAAAAAGAAATAAAAATCAATCCCATATAGTTACAAAATATACTTAGAAATAAATTTAACTAAGGAGGTAAAAGATCCTTACAAAGAAGTGACAAAATAAATTGAAAAGGACAAAAAGAAACGGAAAGAACCCAAATAGCCAAAGCAATACTGAGCAAAAAGAAAAGAGCTGGAGGCATGACACTACCTAATTCCAAAATACACTACAAACCTATAATTCTCAAAACAACATGGTATTGGTATAAAAACAGACACATAGACAGATGCAACAGAACAGAAAATTTAGAAAATATCCACATACTTACAACAAACTGATTTTTAACAAAGGCACCAAGAACATACACTGAGGAAACAACATCCTTCTTAATTTGTGATGCTTGGAAAACTTGATATCTATATGCAGAAAAATAAAACTAAACCATTATTTCACCAAATACAAAAGTCAACTCAAAATAGAATTAAAGGATTAAATATAAGACCCTAAACTATAAAATTTCTAGAAAAAAGTATAAGTGAAGATGATGGCCAAATAGGAATAGTTCTGGTTTGCAGCTCCCAGTGAGACCAATGCTGAAGGCAGGTGATTTCTGCATTTCCAACTGAGGTACCCAGCTCATCTCATTGGGACTGGTTAGACAGTGGGTGCAGCCCACAGAGGGTGAGCAGTAGCAGGGTGGGCTGTTGCCTCACCTGGGAAGTGCAAGGGGTCAGGGAACTCCCTCCCCTAGCCAAGGGATGCCATAAGGGACTGTGCTGTGAGGGACGGTGCTATCCGGCTCAGACACTATGCTTTTCCCACAGTTTTCACCACCTGCATACCAGGAGAGTCACTTGGGTACCTACACCACCAGGGCCCTGTGTTTCAAGCACAAAACTGGGAGGCTATTTGGGCAGACATCGAGCTAGCTGCAGGAGTTATTTTTTGTACCCCTGTGGCATCTGGAATGCCAGTGAGACAGAACCGTTCACTCCCCTGGAAAGGGGGCTGAAGCCGGTGAGCCAAGTGGTCTTGCTCAGCGGATCCCACCCCCACGGAGCCCAGCAAGCTAAGATCCAATGGCTTCAAATTCTCGCTGCCAGCACAGCAGTCTGGAGTCCACTTAGGACACTCCAGCTTAGTGGTGGGAGGGGCTTCACCGTTACTGAGGCATAAGTAGGCAGTTTTCCCCACACAGAATAAACAAAGCCGCTGAGAAGTTCGAATTGGGTGGAACTTGATGCACATGTTTCCTAGAAGCATATTATTTTGCCTCCAGGATGAAATTGCTAAGAAATTACCTTTTTTTAGGAAAAAAAAAAACTGGAAAATCAGTGGCATAAGCAAGTTGTAGGGATGTATTTTTTTCAGTACACACACACAAAATGTATTCTACGGGTAGACACTCGAGAGCGTGTTTACTTGTTCCATATTATCAGCTCTAGCTTCAAATATGTATTATGGTCACTAGACTATTGCTGTAGTTCTAGTGAACACAGTTACATTTCAAGTATCAGGAAGGAATAGGGCAAGTAAAAAAGCATCTTTGGAAGAGTCAGATATTCTTCCCCTTTCAAGGAACTTTTCCAAAATGCACGCTTATATCTCTCATTAGCCAATCCTATCTGCAAGAAGGCAGAAAAGTGTAGGTTTTCATTAGCGCAATACTATCCTCTTAAAAATCAGGATTCTGTTATTAATTGAGAAGATAAGAGTGGCTATTTATAGGCAATTATAATTTTTTCAATAATGGTAGTATTACATACTAGAGGCTTGTGTTTACTTCAAGAAAGATCAAAAGCTTGTCTTTTCTCCTTCACCAGAAAGTAATGCTATTTGTCATTATTTCAGTCTGGCCTATATTCTCTAAGTTCTTTTCATTTTCAAAACTTTTTTCATCTACTTTTATTGTTAACTAAGCTTCATTGTCTGAACACAAACCTTAGCTATAGAGGCAATTTTGTTAAAACATCATTAAATTATTTAGATATATCTTGAATTTTATGCCATTTTGCAAAACTAGCATTCTGTTTATGTGAATAGATGAGGAAAGGGAGGCACAGAGTGGTCAACTAACTTGAGAAAAATCTCATAGCTCGTCTTTAGCAACCATGGATTCCAAAATTGGTTATTTGTAGTCCAGTAAATTCTATGCAATCTCTCCATCCTCTATTTTCCATCTTAAATCTAACATAGATCACTCTCAACATTTTATCCTGCCTAAAGAGGTAAAAATATACACATTAGTGTGGAAATGTCTTATATCTCATATTACTTTGTAAAATGAAAGTGGACTGAAGCGACATTCAGAAGACGTGGATATGAGACCCAGCTGCACTATTTAAGACCTATCGATAAGACATTGGGCAAGTAACTGAATGTCTCTTAAGCTTCATTTTCTAATCTATGCAGTAAGAATACTAATACATTCCCTGTCCACTTCACAAAATGATGGTGAAGAATATCTTCACATCTCACAAATTTGCACTCTCTCTCTATTTCCATGACTATTACCTTAATTTATACAACAAATATCTCTAACTTGAACTACTGTGGTAACATTCTAACTAGTCTTCCATTTTTCATGGTATCTCCTATCCAAGTTTATTCTTTGTGTTCAATCTAGAGTGATATTTTCAAATTGCAAATACATGTGCTGCTTCCCTGCCTAAACCTTTTCAATGGGTGCCCATTGCTTTCACTATAAAGGGAAAAGCACCCTAGCATGGTTTATTGCGTTATCATCTTACATCGTGCCCCAACTGACTACAGAACTTTGGTACATACTAGTCCCTCATTTCTTTCCTTCATTGTCCTCCTAACTTCAGACAATCACATAGCTCAACTCTTAGACATAAGGTCACAAGTCAGTATTTCAGAGAGGCATTCAATGGTCCTACATGAACAAAGATTAATTTGAACTCTCATTACATACTATTATAATACTATGTAATTTTAATAGCATTTATCACAGATTATAATTATATGTTTACATCTATTCTCATTTGTTTAGATCTGGCTCACTAGCCTGTATGCTTTAAGAAAAGTCCTTTTTGCCTGCCATTGTATCTTCAACATCTTGCACAGTGCCTGTAATATATTAGGGGATCAGCAAAAAATGTGTTGAATAAATATGTAAAGTAATTAAATAAGTAAAGTAATACCATGAATAGGAGAAAGTCTTTTACATTATGAAATGTATATAATTCAAGTGTGACTATTATTGTAATTTTTATCATCAATATTATTACATGATTCTTTGGAGCATCTTTCATGATGCCCAGCATAGTTCTAAGTCATGTAGTGTATCTTCAATAAGTATTTGTTAAAGAAGTGAATTACCAGAGAAAATTATCTAATCAGTGACAGAATGAATTAATACTAAATTATAAGTAGACAGAAATGGCACACTGGTTTGTAGAGAGAGAAAGACATTATGGATACCATTTCAGGCAGCTGCCAGAGACATTTTAATTATCAAAAGGCTGGGATTTCCTGGTCTAGAGAAATTTGGGAAGACAGTAAGGGTAAAAAGACATGAGTCTAGGCACGTGAAAAATAGAATACTAAGGCCAGGTAACTATGGGTCTCATTCGCTACATCAAGGATGGTGTTATTTTCTACTTATACCTAAGATTGAACTTCTGTATACCTAAAATTGAATTTGTTGAGTAACTTTTTTAGAATGCTAACCAGCCACATAATGAGGATCAATGAACTAAAACCCAGGCAACGTAAGTTTTTTATGGTGGAAAGAACAGAAAGATCTGGAACAGTAATATATGCCCATAGAGATTTGGCCTGTTTATGAGTCTACACTGTGGGGCCCAGTAGTCAAAAAAGAGTATGAGAAAATTTCATCACTTATAAGAGTAAGGGAGATGTAAAAGTAGAAAAGGATGTAGGAAGAAGAATAGGGATAGGAAGAGAATAAAAAAGGCCAAGACAAACTTGTTTTACAGTTTTGTCAAAGGCTAAACTGTTCACATTATCCTACTTGTTACAACCACTACACCTGTATGTAAAATTTCAAGGAAATCAGTGCACATTAGAACTTTATGCCTGGTCAAGTCCCTCTCCTTACATTGAAGAGCTAATTTTGCTATCCCTGAGGGATAAATATGTAGTTAGAAATGAGCCTCTGTGAATCACCGCTCTCCAAATAAAACCCAAAGTTGTGCCACTGAACCAGTACAAAATATGTGAAACACAAAGGCTGTAGAAATGACGGGAATGGTGCCAAATTACATACCAATTAAAAGGGGTCATAATTTTTTAACCCATCACTGACTTCAATTCCCTTATTTTATGCAATTATTCTTATCATCGTCATCATTGTTATTGTTATAATAACTCAGAATCATCAAAACTGGCTAGTGGTAATAAAAACTCTATGGCAGGCATACAATTCAATGTAAGTATTCCTAATAAGTAAATAAATGAAAAAACAGCTAAAGTCTTTTCAGAATTTTACTTCAAAATTACCATCTTCTTTTTTTACATATGTAAGTGGTTCAACATCCCCCTAAAATAAATAAACTCCACCTGAAAGTCCAAACCACTCTTAAGTCTCTTAAACTCCTGACTTGGCTGGTGATTCCATTGTCTATCTGAGAATAAAATGGAAAATATTCCAAAGGTTATATCATGTGGGTGTCATGCTATAAATCGTGACCATATGATTCAATTTTACATTTGAAATTTAGAAGTAAATAAGCTATAGAATTACCAAAACTTTTTGGAAAAATGTCTAAATCTGTAATTGTAGCTTCTTATTAATCTCACCATATATAACCTAAACAATAATCTCTTAAGGTAGTTTGAAACTGAAGAATAGGGGAAAGTTAAACTTCTATTCTTCTATGGCCAGGTGGAAAGAAGAAAATGCAGCAAATGAAATGGATAATCTAACTAAGAAGATTTCCAGACTAAATGAAGAAAGTGACTTCTGGCAACTTCTTGCTGTTTGTAATAAAATGTAAGAGAAAAGTGTTAAGCTAAGAAAATATTTGTTAAATATAAAGAACTCAGAGTGCGATGGGTTTAAAAACAAAATTGTTATTTTCAGAAATAAAATTCATACAGATTAAAGAAGTAAAACTATTTATATTTGCAGATTACATATTATATATAGAAATGTCTACACGACATTTCTAACAACAACTAAATACTTGTCAGAACCAATAAATGAATTCAGTAAGATTGCAGGGTAACATATTAAAATTAAATATATTTGTATATTTATACCCTAGCAATAAATAATAAATATATAAAATCCCATTTGCAATAGCATCAAAAAGAATAAAAAAAAAAAGTTTCCAGGCATGGTGGCTCACACCTGTAATCCCAGCACTTTGGGAGGCTGAGACGGGCAGATCACAAGGTCAGGAGTTCAAGACCAGCCTGGCCAAAATAGTGAAACCCCGTCTCTATTAAAAATACAAAAAATTAGCCAAGCGTGATGGCGGGTGCCTGTAATCCCAGCTACTCGGGAGGTTGAGGCAGTGGAATCGCTTGAACCCAGGAGGAAGAGGTTGCAGTGGGCGGAGATCACACCACTGCACTCCAGCCTTGGCAACACTGTGAGACTCCGTCACTTAAAAAGTGAAAGACCAAGATGTGCAAAATATTATTGAAAATATATATATATACAGAATACCTAAGGAAATGGAAATATACCCCCATGTTTATGGATTGGAAGAATTCATATTGTTTAGTTGGCAATATTACCCAAACTGATCTACAGATTTAGTGCAATCACTATCCAAATCTCAGATGGCTTTTATTTTTTGCGGAAATTTACAAGCTGATTCTAAAATTCATATGAAAATGCCAAAGAGGCTAAGCACGGTGGCTCACACCTGTAATTCCAGCACTTAGGGCAGCCAAGGCAGTTGGATCACGAGATCAAGAGATCAAGACCATCCTGACCAACATGGTGAAACCCCATCTCTACTAAAAATACAAAAATTAGCTGGGCATGGTGGCACGTGGCTGTAGTCCTAGCTACTCAGGAGGCTAAGGCAGGAGAATCGCTTGAACCCAGGAGGCAGAGGTTGCAGTGAGCCGAGATCATGCTGCTGCATTCCAGCCTGGGCGACAGAGCGAGACTCTGTCTCAAAATAAAATAAAAAAAAAAAGAAAGAAAGAAAAAAGAAAGTGCCAAAGAATGAGAATAGTGTAAACAATCTTGAAAAAGAACAAAAGTGGAGGACTCACACTTACCAGTTGCAAAACTTACTAAAAGGTACAAGATTCAAAATGGTGTGGTGCTGGAACAAGAATAGACATCTAAATAGAATATAATCAAGACTACAGAAATAAACTTTCATATTTATGGTCAATTGATTTTTGACAAGGGTGTCATGAAAATTTAATAGAGAATGAGTAGTCTGTTCAACAAATGGTATGGGTGTTGGAACAACTGTGTATCCACATAAAAAAGAATAAAGTTGTACCTTTACCATATACCCTACATAAAACCTAACTAAGGTGACATCAGTAAGATGCCAGAATAGGAGACACCAGCCTGCTGGTATCATCTCTTTCATTTCCTTCAAAAATGTACAATTAAATTATGATTTATGATAATCTTCCTGCTCTACTATCAAATACTAGGTCTTATTCTTTCTAACTATATTTAGAAAGAAGATACCCCCACACCAACTGCTACCTTTCCCAGCTTCTAGTAACCATCTTTCTACACTCCATCTCCATGAATTCAACTGTTTTAATATTTAGCTCCCACAAATGAGTGGAAACATGCAGAGTTTGGCTTTTTGTTCCTGGCTTATTTCACTTAACATGATGACCTCCAATTCCATCCATGTTGTTGCAAATGATAGGATCTCATTCTTTTGTGTGGCTGAATAGTACTCTATTGTGTGTATGTACCACATTTTGTTTATCTATTCACCTGTTGACAGACACTTAGATGCTTCCAAATCTTGGCTATTGTGAATACTGCTGCAATAAACATAGGAGTGCAGAGTATGTTTTTTATATGCGGATTTTTCTATTTTTTGTTACATAGCTATCAGTGGGATTGTTGGGTCATATAGTAGCTCTATTTTTAGTTTCTTGAGGAACCTCCAAACTGTTATCCATAGTGGCTTTACTACTTCACATTACCACCAACAGTGTATGAGGGTTCCTTTTTCTCCACATCCACCTGAACCTTTGTTATTACCTCTCTGTTGAATAAAAGATACTTCAACTGGTGTGAGATGATATCTTATTGCAGCTTTGATTTGCATTTCTATGTTGATCAGGGATTTCAGCACTTTTCCTGTATTCCATTTGTGTGTCTTCTTTTGAGAAATGTTTATTCAGGTCTTTTTTCCATTGTTTAATCAGATTATTAGATTTTTTTTTCTAATATAGAGTTCATTGTGCTCTTTATATTTTCTGGTTACTTATCCTTTGTCCGGTGGGTAGTTTGCAAATATTTTCTCCCAATTTGTGGGTTGTCTCTTCACTTTGTTGATTGCATCCATTTCTGTGCATAAGCTTTTAACTTGATGTGATTCCATTTGTTCATTTTTGCTTAGGTTTCCTGTTCTTGCAGGGTATTAATGAAGAAATCTTTGCCCAGACCAAAGTCTTGGAGCATTTCCAAATGTTTACTTGTAGTAGTTTCATAGTTTCAAATCTTAGATATAAGTATTTAATTCATTTTGTTTGATTTTTGTATATGGTGAGAGATAGGAGTCTAGTTTTATTCTTCTGCCTATGGACATCCAGTTTTCCCAGAACAATTTCTTGAAGAGACTGTGTTTTCCCCAATGTATGTTTTTGGCACCTCTGTCAATAATGATTTCACTGAAAATGTATGGATTTGGATTTGTTTCTGGATTCTCTATTCTTTATCATTGGCCCATGTGTCTGATTTTATGCCAGTATCATGGTATTTTGTTTACTAAAGCTTTGTAGTATAATTTGAAGTCAGGTAATGTGATTCTGCAAGTTTAGCTATTTTTTTCTCAGAATAGATTTGGTTATTCTGGGTCTTTTGTTGCTCCATATATTTTTCTATTACTGTGAAGAATGCCATTGGTATTTTGATGGGTTTTGCATTAAATCTATAGCTTGTTTTCAGTAGTATAAACATTTCAACCATATTTATTTTTTCAATCTGTGAACATGAAATAATTTTTTTCCATTTTTTGTGTCCTCTTCAATTTCTTCTATTAATGTTTTATAATTTTCATTGTAGAAATTTTGACTTATTTGGTGAAGTTAACTTATTAGGTTTTTAATGTTATTTAGGTTAGCTTTTAATGCAATTGTAAATGTGATTACATTTTTTATTTCCTTTTCAGATTATTCAGTGTTGGCATATAAAAATGCAATCGAATTTTTATGTTGATTTATATCCAGAAAAGCTACTGAATTTGTTGATCAATTCTAGTAGTTTTTTGTTAAAGTCTTTAGTTTTTCTAAATATAAGATTATGTCACCTGTAAACAAGAATAATTTGATTTCTTCCCTCCAGTTTGAATGTCCTTGATTTTTTCCCTCTTGTTTGATTGCTTTAGCTAGACCTTCCAGTACTGCGTTAAATAACAGTTGTGAAAGCGGACATCCTCATCTTTTACCAGGTCTTTCAGTTTCTCCCCATTTAGTATACCAGCTGTGGGCATGGCTTTTATTATTTTTAGATATTTCCCTCTTAAACTTAATTTATTAGGATTTTTAGCATGAAGGGACTTTTTTCAAATGCTTTATTTCCCCACTTTTTAACTTTTTGTCGTTTCTCTTTATGTCTTTTTATACTGACTATATCTTAGAAAGTTGTTGTAATTATTATTTTTGATTCGTATATCACTTTGTCTTTCTACTCGAGATAAGAGTGTTTGGTACCCCACAATTACGGTGTTATAATATTTTGTGATTTTCTGTGTGCTTATGATTACTAGTGAGTTGTGTACGTTCAGATAATTTCTTATTGTTCATTATGCTTTTTTTCCAATATTGACGAACTTTGTTTAGCATTTCTTTTAGAACAGGTCTAGTGTTGATGAAATTGTTCAGCTTTTCTTTTTCTGGCAATGTCTTTATCTCTCCTTCATGTTTGATTAATATTTTCACTGGATGTACTATTGTATGGTAAACAATTTTTTCTTCAGCCCTTAACTGTGTCATACCACCGTCTTCTGGTCTTTAATGTTTCCACCAAAAAGTCTGCTGCTAGACGTATTGGCGCTCCACTATATGTTATTTATTTCATTTGTTTTGCTGCTTTTAGGATTCTTTTTTATCCTTGACCTTTGAGAATTTGGTTATTTAATGCATTGAGGTAGCCTGCTTTGGGTTAAATCTGCTTGGTATTCCATAACCTTCTTGTACTTGAATGTTGATATTGTTGGCTAGGTTTGGGAAGTTGTCTGTTATTATCCCTGTGAATAAACTGTCTACCCATGTCTCTCTCTCTACCCCCTCTTTAAGTCCAGTACTTTTAGATTTGCCCTTTTGAGGATATCTTTTAGATCCCTAGGCATGCTTTATTATTTTATATACTTTCTTCTTTTGATTCTTCTGACAAATTATTTCTTCTGTGTGAACAATTCTTCCATTAAGAGACTGATGTATTCTTTTTTATGCCAATTACATTTTTCAATTCCAGATTTTCTGCTTTATTCTTTTAATTATTTCAATCTCTTTGCTACATTTTTCTCATGGAATTTTGAATTCCTTCACTGTGTTATTTTTAATTTCTTTGGGTTTCCTCAAAATAGATATTTTTGAATTCTCTGTCTAAAAGGTCTTATGTCTGTTTCTCCAGGATTGGTTTACGGTGACTTATTTAGTTCATTTTGTGAGTTTATGTTTTCACGGCTAGTCTTGGTGCTTGTAGACATTTATTGGTTTCTGGGCATTGATGAGTGAACTATTTGTTGTTGTCTTTAAAATCTGGCATTCACAATCTGTGCTTATCTTTTGGGGGAAGGCTTTCCAGGTATTCAAACTGACTTGGTCTCCCAGTCCAGTGACGCTGTGGTTCTTGCAGGCTTTTAGAGGTATCACCTTGGTTGTCTTGGATAGAAACAAACAGCATGTCTCTCCCTGTGCTGAGCTGCCTGGAGATAGGGGTGAAGTGACACAAGCACCCCTGTGTCCACCACTACTGAATCTGCCCTGGGTCAGACCTGAAGCCAGCATATCACAGGGATTCAACCACAGTCCACTCTAACCACTACCTGCTACCATCTGTGTTCACTCAAGGACCGAGGTCTCTACAATTAGCAGAGTGCAAAGCCAGTCAGTTTTGTGTCCTTCTTTACAGTGTGACAAGTTCCTCCAGGCCCTAGGTGGGTCCAGAGATGCTGTCTCGAAGCCAGAGATTGAAGTATAAAACCTTAAAAATCTACCTGGTGTTCTATTCTACTATGGTGAACCTGGCATTCAAACCACAAGATGTCATTCCAGCTCTTTCCTCCCCCTTCTAAAAGCAAAGAAGCTTCTCTCCATGGCCATCACCACCATTGGCCCGTGAGCAGTTCTTTCATTTTCCTGCCAGTGTTTACTTAAGACCCAAGTACTCTTCAGTCAGCTTATGGTGAATGTTGCCAGGCCTCAGAGTCACCCTTCAAGGCCCCTGTTGCCCAGGACAGGTCCGGAAATGAAGTCTAAGACCCTGGGACTTGTCTCAGAAACACCAAGAGCCTAATTTGCGCTCTACTCCACTGTGGCTGAGCTGGTACCTGAAACCAGCACATCTCAGTCTCACCCAAGGCCCATGGTGTAGTACCTAGGTATTACTGTTGATTATTTAGGGCCCCGGGGCTTTTTAGTCAGCTAGTGATGTACCTTTCCAGAACTGTGTTCTTTCCTTCAATGCAGCAGGTTGCCTTCTGGCTCAGAGTTTGTTTAAAAATTCATCTGGAAGCTTGACCCTGGGATGGGAACCTCATGACTCTGTCTGGTGCCCTGTCATACTGTGGCTGAGCTGATATCCAAGGTGCAAGACAAAATCTTCTTTACTCTTCTTTCTCCTTTCCTCAAGAAGAAGAAATGAATCACTTTAATTGCTGTGAGCTTCACTTCCTTTGGTTGGAGGAGGGGTAGTGCAGGCGCTACCCCATTGACTCCATCTGGTGTCTTACTAGGTAACACACTGTCCCAGTCCACTTTCTCTAAGCCCAGCACAGCATGAAGCCTTGCCTAAGAATTGCAGTCCTTGTGTACTAGACTGCCTTTCATCTTCACTGAGGACCCCAGGGCACTTTAACTCATGGTGGCAAGGTTTGCCAAAACTCGAGTTCTGACTGTCCCCCTACCTATGCTGGTTCAAATGCTCCCTCTGTGGGTGGCTACTGTCTGATTTCAGCATGGTTTTGTTTTCTTCTGTAACAGTGCAGCAGAGACTTCAATGCAACCTTTCCCAGTCACTTAGTTCTCCCTTTACCAATTCTTCTCCACAGATTCTCTTTGCCATGTAGCCACTGCTGGGGGAGAGGATAGTGGAGGCATTGGCAATTGAAGACAGTCTTTTCTCCCTCTTCAGTGCCTCTTTCAATGATATAAATTTAAAGCTAGATATTGTTATTGTTCAAATAAACTTTGGTTTGATGGAGGTGCTTTTTGTGTGGATAGTTGTTAAAAGTTGGTGTTCATGCAAGGGGTTGATTGGTAAAGCCTTCTACTTGATCTTCTTGCAGCACCCTAGCATACTCTTCTCAAGTGCACTAAAACATTCCTCATGATACTTCATATGTTGGGCCACAACCAAGATTTAATAAATTGAAGAACATTTAAATCATATGAAGTATCTTTTACAATGACAATAATATAAAACAAAAAATTAACAGCTAAAGAAGTCCTGAAAATTTAAAGAAAATTAATTTAAACAAATTACCTTTGAACAGCTAATTGATTCAAAAATAAATCAAAGAGGAAACAAAATAAATCTTGAGACAAACAAAAATGAATACACAATATACCAATCTTATGAGATATAGCAAAGGCAGTTCTAAGAGGAAGATTTACAGTAATAAATGCCTACATCAAAAAAATAAAAAATCTCAAATACACAGCATAACTTTACATCTCAAAGAAGCAGAAAAAAATCTAAGTCCAAAGTAAAGAGAAGGAAGAAAATCACAAAGATCAGAACAGAAATAAAATAGTAGAATAGAAAAAACAATAGAAACAATCAATTAAACTGTTTATTTTTTGAAAAGATAAACATAGTTGACAGACTCTTATACTAATAACAACAAATATTCAAATAAATAAAACTAGAAATAAAAGAATAGACATTATAACTGATACCACAAAAAATAAATTGTAAATTATAGAAGAGTAAAATAAACAGTTTTATACTAACAAATTGGATTACGTAGATAAAATGTATAAATTCCTAGAAATATACAACAAACAAATATTGACTCACAGAAAAATAGAAAATCTGAACAGGCCAATAAAAAGTAATAGATTAAATCGGTAATAAAATGTCTTCCAGCAAAGGAAAGAAAAAAAAAACTTATTGGCTTCACAGTTACATTTTACCAAACATTTTAAAAACTAATACTGAACTTTCCCAATATCTTCCTAAAAAGTAAAGAGAAAAAATACTTTTGTATTTATTTTTCCAGGCTAGAATTACCTTCACATTTAAGCCATATAAAGATACCACAAGAAAAGAAAATTACAGGACAGTATCTCTCATGAACATTTGTATTAGTAAGCATTCTCCAGAGGAACAGAACTAATAGGATATATGTATATATGCAAGGGGGTTTATTAAGGTGACTCACACGATTACAAGGCGAAGTCTGACGACAGGCTGTCTGCAAGGTGAGGAGCGAGGAAGCCAGTAATGGCTCAGTCCAAGCCCCGAAGCCTAAAAAGTAGGGAAGCCAACAGTGCGGCCCTCAGTAAGTGGCTTAAGGCCCAAGAGCCACTGGTAAACCACTGGTGAAAGTCCAAGAGTTAAAATGCCAAAGAACCTGGAGTCTGATGTTCAAAGGCAGGAAGTATCCAGCAGGAGAAAGATGAAAACCAGAAGACTCAGCAAGACAGTTTATTTCACCTTCTTCCACCTGCCTTTTCTAGCCTTGCTGGCAGCTAAGTGGATGATGCCCACCCACACTGAGGGTGGATCTCCCTCTTCCAATCCACTGGCTCAAACGTTAACCTCCTCTGGCAACACCTCGCACACACACTCGGAAACAATACTTTACATTCTTCAATTCAATCAAGTTGACATTTAATATTATCCATTACAACATAAATGCAAATACCCTCAACAAATTATTAGCAAACCAAATTCAGCAGCACATTAAAATAATCATACACCATGATCAAGTGAAATTTATCCCTGGGGTTCAAGGATGGCTCAAGAAGCATATGCAAATCAATAAATGTGATACATCATACCAACAGAATGAAGTCTAAAAATTATATCATCTGAATACATGCAGAAAAAACATTTGACAAAACACAAGGAAAATTCAAGTCAACACCACCTTACATCCACTAGGATGGTTATTATCAAAACGACCAAAGATAAGTATTAGTGAGGATCTGGAGGAAAGACAAGCTGTGTAAACTGTGTGTGGGTGCTGTGTTTTGGATATGGTTTGTTTTTCTCCACCAAAAAATTATATTGAAATTTGATCCACAGTGTAGCAATGGTAAGAAGTGGGGCCTAGTGGGAGGTGTTTGGGTCATGGAGGCAGATACTTCATGAATGACTTGGTGCTGTTCTGGAAGTAGGGAGTGAGTTCTTGCTCTGGTGACACTGGATTAGTTACTGTGGGAATACATTAGATTCTGCTAGAGGTGGTTTTTATAAATCCAAGATGTCCCTCAGATTTCATCTCTTTTCATGTGTTTGCCTCATCTCTGACCATCTCTGCCATGTTATGACGCACCACAGAAGAACTTACCAGGCAATGACCTTGAACTTCCTAACCTGCAAAACTGTAAGATAAATACAACTTTTTAAAAATAATGTATTACCGAGTCTCGGGCATTCTGTTATAGCAATACAAAATGAACTGAGTCAGTGGGAATGTAAATTATTATAGTCACTATTGTAAAAAAGTATGATAGTTCCTAAAAAAAAGTAAAAATAGAACTAACACATGATCAAGCAATCCCACTTCTGTGTATATATCCAATGGAAATGAAAACAGTACGTCAAAGAGACATAAGCACTTCTATGTTCATTTTAGCATTATTCACAATAACCAAGATATGGAATCAACATATGTGTCCACCAATGAATGAGTGGATAATAAAAATATTAACATATATATGTACATCTGTATATAATGTATACACACAGTAGAATATTATTCAAACTTTAATTTGATGAAATTTATGTCTTTTATGAAAAGAAAATGATGAACCTGAAAGACCTTAAGTTAAGTGAATTGAGCCAGGCAGAGAGAAACAGATATTGAACTTATGTGTGGAACACAAAAAAGTCATACTCATAGATTCAGAGACTACAAGGGTGGTTTCTAGTTGCTGGGGAGTGGGGGAAAATTGAGAGATATTGATCAAAAAGTACAAAGTTTCATTTTGAAAGGAGAAATAGGTCCTAAAGAATTAGTGTAGGGCATGTTGATTTTTTTTTAATTTTTTTTTCTTTTTTCAACCTTTAGGTCCAGGGGTACATGTGCAGGTTTTTCACATTAGTAAATTTATGTCATAGGGGTTTGGTGTACAGAATATTTTATCGCATAGGTACTAAGCATAGTACTTGATTGTTTTTTTTTTTATTATCATCTCTATCCAAACATCCATTCATCTTGATTTGATTTTTTCTATATGGTGTAAGGAAGGAATTCAGATTCTTTCTTCTTCATATGGCTAGACAGTTATCACAGCACCATTTATTGAACAGAAAATTCTTTCTCCATTGCTTGTTTTCACCTGTTTAGGAAAAGATCAGATAATTGTAGGTGTGCAGCATTATTTCTGGGCTCTCTATTGTATCCCATTTGTTTATATGTCTGTTTCTGTACCAGCAGCATGCTCTTTTGGTTACTGTAGTCCTGTAGTATTGTTTGAATATGGGTAACATGATGCTTCCAGCTTTGTTCTTTTTGCTTAGAATTGTCTTGGCGATTTGGGGTCCTTTTGTTTCCATATGAATTTTCAAATAGTTTTTTTCTAGTTATGTAAAGGATGTCATTGGTAATCTGATACAGAAAGCATTAAATTTGTAGTTGCTTTCAGCAATATGGCCATTTCAACAATATTAATTTTTGCTACCCTTTATCATGGAAGGTTTTTTTAATTTGTCTGTGTCATCTCTGATTTCTTTGAGCAATATTTTGTAAATTTTTTTGTAGAATTCTTTCACCTCCCTGGTTAGCTCTATTCCTAGGTATGTTATTATTTTCGTGGCAGTTGTAAGTGGATCACTTTCTTGATTTGGCTCTCAACTTGGATCTTGTGGTGTAGAGGAATGCTACTAATTGTTGCATGTTTATTTTGTATTATTAAATTTTGCTGAAGTTGTTTATTAGCTCAAGGAGTTTTGGGTAAGAGATTATAGTGTTTTCTAGACATAGAATCATGTCATCTGCAAATAGGAATAGTTGGCCTTACCCTCTTCCTGTTTGTAAGCCTTTTATTTCTTTCTCCTGCCTGATTTCTCTTCCCAGAACCTCAAATATTATGTAATTAGTTGAGGACGTCCTTACTTTGTGCTAGTTTTCAAGGGGAATGCTTTCAGATTTTGACAATTCAGTATGAGGTTGGCTGTGGGTTTCTCATAGATGGATGGCTCTTATTATTCTGAAGTATGTTACTTCAATATTCACTTTATTAAGGATTTTCAATATGAAGAGATGTTGAATTTTATCAAAAGCCCTCTCTGTTTCTATTGAGATAATCATGTGGTCCTGGTCTTTATTTTTACATGATGAATCAAATTTAATGATAATTTACAGTCATATGGTGGACCAAATTTGTATCCCAGGTATAAATCCTGCTTAACTGTGGTAGATTAGTCTTTTGATGTGCTGCTGAATTGGTTTGCTTGCATTTCATTGAGAATTTTTGCATTCGTGTTTATAAAGGATATTGCCCTTAAGTGTGTGTGTGTATGTGTGTGTGTGTGTGTGTGTGTGTGTGTGTGCGCTAAGTTTTGGTATCAGGATGACACTGGCTCCACAGAATGACTTGAAAAGGAGGCCTTCCTTCTCAGTTTTTTGGAATACTTTCAGTAGAAATCATACCAGCCCTTCTTTGTACATCTGGTAGAATTTGGCTGTGAATTCATTTGGTCTTGTGCTTTTTTTTTTTTTTTTTGGTTGTTGTTGTTGATACACTATTACTGATTCAATTTTGAAGCCCATTATTGGCCTGTTCAGGGATTCAGCTTCTTTCTTGTTCAGTCTTGGGAGGGTGAATGTTTCTAGGAATGTATCCATTTTTTCAGATATTCTGGTTTGCGTGTATAGAGGTGTCCATAGTAGTGTCTGATAGTTACTTGCGTTCCTTTAAGCTCAGTGGTAACATCCCCTTTGTCATTTCTAAATATGTTTATTTGGATCTTCTCTCCTTTTTCTATATTCATCTAGTTAGTGGTCTATCTTATTATTTTTTTTCAAATAGTGACTTATGAATTTGGTGATATTATGTATGTTTTGTTTTGTTTTTGAGATGGAGTCTCACTCTGTCACCCAGGCTGGAGTGCAGTGGTGTGATCTCAGCTCACTGCAACCTCCCCCTTCTGGGGTCAAGCAATTTTCCTGCCTCAGCCTCCTGAGTAGCTGGGATTACAGTTGTACACCCAACGCCTGGCTGATTTTTTTCTATTTTTAGTAGAGATGGGGTTTCACCATGTTGGCCAGCCTGGTCTCAAACTCCTGACCTCAGGTGATCCACCCATCCCAGCCTTTCAAGGTGCTGGGTGGGATTACAGGTGTGAGCCACTGCACTTGTATGTTTTTATGTTTGTTTCACAGTTTCCTTCAGTTCAGCTCTGATTTTGTTTCTTTTCTTGTCTGCTGCTACTTTTAAGGTTGGTTTGCTCTTGCTTCTCTTGTTCTAGTTATGATGTTAAGTTGTTAATTTGAGATTCTACTAGCTTTTTGATGTGGGAATTTAGGGCTATAAATTTCCCTCTTCTTGTAATCTCAGCACTTTGGGATGCCAAGGTGGGTGGATCACGAGGTCAGGAGTGTGAGACCAGCTTGGCCAATATGGTGAAACCTCATCTCTACTAAAAATACAAAAATTAGATGGGCATGGTGGTGTGCACCTGTAGTCCCAGCTGCTCGGGAGGTTGAGGCAGGAGAATCACTTGAACCAGGGAGGCAGAGGTTGCAGTGAGCTGAGATCGCACCACTGCACTCCAGCCTGGGTGACAGAGCGAGACTCCATCTCAAAAAATAAATAAGTAAATAAATTACCTCTTAATACTGCCTTGCCTTAGCTGAGTTCCAGAAATTCTGGAATGTCATATTTTTGTTCTTTTAACTTTCTAATAACTTCTTGATTTCTTCCTTAATTAAATTATTTGCCCAAAAGTCATTCAGGAGCAGGTTGTTAAATTGTTATGTAACTGTATGGTTTTCAGAAGTTTTCTTCATTTTGAATTTTTTTTATTGTGCTGTAGTCTGAGGGTGGTGTTGGTATGATTTTATTTTATTATTTTTTAATTTGCTGAATATTGTTTTATGCCCAACTGTGTGTTTGACTTTAGATTATGTGCCATGTACTGATGGGAAAAATGTGTACGCTGTTGTTTGGGGGTGGAGAGCTCTGTAGATATCTATTATTTCCATCTGGTCAAGTGTTTAGTTCAAGTCCTGGATAACTTTGTTAATTTTTGTCTTAGTTCAAGTCCTGGATATCTTCGTTAATTTTTGTCCTTCATGATCTGTCTAGTACTATCAGTTGGGTGTTGAAGCCTCCCACTATTATTGTGTAAAAATCTAAGTCTCTCTTCATTGGTCTCTAAGAACTTCTTTTATGAATCTGAGTACTTCTGTGTTTGGTGCACATTTATTTGGGATCGTTAGGTCTTCTTGTTGAATTGATCCCTTTATTATTATTGAATTCCTTCTTCTGTTTGTTTTGATCTTCATTGATTTAAAGTCTGTTTTATTTGAAATTAAAATTGAGACCCCTGCTTTTTTTGTTGTTTGATTTCCATTTGCTTGGTAGACTTTCCTCCATCCTTTTACTTCAAGCCTGTGGGTGTGATTGCATGTGAGATGGATCCATTGGAGACAGCATACCATTGGGTCTTAGTTCTTTATCCACCTTGCCACTCTATGTTTTTTAATTGGGGCATTTAGCTGATTTATATTCAAGCTTAATATTGATATTTGTGGATGTGATTCTGTCATCATGTTGTTAGGTGGTTTTTATGCAAACTTGTTTGTGCTATTGCTTTATAGTGTCACTTGTCTGTTGTATTAGGCTGTTCTTGCATTGTTATAAATAAATACCTGAGACTGGGTAATTTATTTTAAAAAGAGTTTTATTTTGCTCATGGTTCTGCAGGCTGCACAGGAAGCATAATGCTGGCATCTGCTCAACTTCTGGGGAGGCCTGAGAAAACTTACAGTCATGGCTGAAAGTCAAGGGAGAGCAGACATGTCTTACATGGCAGCAGGAGGCGCAAGAGTGAAAGGCGAGATGGCTACACACTTTTAAATAACCAGCTCACACAATAACTCACTCATTATCATAAGGTCAGTACCAAAAGGGAAGGTGCTATACCACTCAACCAATCACCTCCCACCAGGCCCCACCTTCAACATTGGGGGATTACAATTCAACATGAGATTTTGTGGGGACACAAATTCAAACCATATTATTTTAGCCCGATCGCTCTTAAATCCCATGTCCTTCTCACATTGCAAAATACAAGTATACCTTCTCAACCATCCTCCAAAAATCTTAACTCATTCTAGCATTAACTCACAGGCCCAAAGTCCAAAACTCATCTGAGATAAGGCAAGTCCCTTTTACCTATAAACTTGTAAAACCAAAAAAAAAAAAAAAAAAAAAAACATTATTTACTTCCAAAATACAATGGGAATATAGGCATTGGGTAAATACTCCCATTTCAAAAGGGAGAAATTGAACAAAAAAAAGGAGGCTCAGTCCCCACACATGTCTGAATCCCAGCAGAGAACTCAGTAGATCTTAAAGCTCCAACATAATCTCCTTTGACTTTATGTCCCACATCCACAGCACGCTGCTGCAAGGGGTAGACACTTGAGGTCTTGTGTAGCTTCAATCCTGTGCCTTTGCAGGGTTTAGCCCCCACAAGTGTTCTCATGGTGTGGCTTTGAGAGGCTGCAGTTTTTCCAGGCACAGAGTGCAAGCTGTCAGTAGATCTACCATTCTTTGATCTGAAGGATTGTGTCCCTCTTCTCACAGCTCCACTAGTTAGTGCTCCAGTATGCACTCTGTGTGAGGTCTCCAATCCCACATTTTCCCTCCACATTGCCCTGGTAGAGGTTCTCTGTGATTACCTCTCCCCTGCAGGTACTTCCTGGACATGCAGGCTTTATCCTACATCCTATAAGGTTTAGGCACAGGCTTCCAGCTGTCGACTCTTAACACTCTGTGCACCCACAGGCTCAACAGCATATGGGATCCACCAAGGCTTATGGATTAGCAGTGCACATTAAATAAAAAAATAATAACCCAGTTAATAATAGGTAAAATATCTGTATAGTCATTCCTCTCAAATAAGATATAAAAATAGTGCATAAGTATATGAAAAATGCTTAAAATTATTATTCATAATACAAATGCAAATCAGAACCATAGTGAGATATCACCTAACACTACTGTGATGGAAGTCATAAAAAACGTGGAAAATAGCAATTATTGGTAAACATGGAAAAATTAGAACCCTCATGTATTTCTGGTATAAATAAAAAATGATGTAGCCACTTTGGGAAACTGTATGACAATTCCTCAAAAAGTTAAACACAGCCTTATCATATGAACCAGCAATTCTACTCCTATACACCCAAAATAAATAAAAACAAATGTCCTCATGTAAACTTATGCACAAGTGTTCATAAAAGTAGCATTATAAACAAAAGCCAGTTGGTGGGAATATCTCAGACATCCATCAAAATTGGTGAGTAACTAAATAAATGTGGTATCCATAAGATAGAATACTATTCTTCCAAAAAAATTAATAAAATACTGATTCATGCTACATTTTAAAAACATGAAACCATTATACTAAATGAAAGAAGACAGACAAAAGGGTTACATATTATATCATTTTTAAAAATATCCATATCTATAGAGACAAAAAGATGATTAATAACTTTCAGGCACTAGAGGGAGAGGGACCAATGAGCAGTGATTGCTTATTGGGTTGGGTACATGGTTCACTTATTTTTTTTTTTTTTTTTTTTCCCAACGTCCACCTCCCGGGTTCATGAGATTCTCCTGCCTTAGCCTCCCGAGTAGCTGGGATTACAAGAGTGCGCCACCATGCCTGGCTAATTTTTGTATTTTTAGTAGAGACGGGGTTTCACCATGTTGGCCAGGCCTGGTCTCGAACTCCTGACATCAAGTGATCCACCCACCTTGGCCTCCCAAAGTGCTGGGATTACAGGTGTGAGCCACCGCGCCCAGCCTCAATTATATTTTGATTAAAATATTCTAGGATTAGACAGTCATGTTTGCACACAGTGAGTATACTAAAAGTAAGTGAATTGTATACTTTAAAGTGGTTAAAATGGCAAATATTAAGTGATACAAATTTTATGCCTATTAAAGAGAATTATATATTTATTTCTATACCAACATTCAGAAGACATTTAAATGCAGCAAACCTAAATAAAAAAGAAAGCAAGGGAACAATGAAAATGAGATTGATAGTAAGTGACCCAGGGAAGTAGATTGAAGTGGAGAAGGGTATAATTAAATGTAAGTTAAGTTATTATCAAGGCCTAAGTTTAGTTTTGGATGTTGAAACTGTGAGTGCTTACTACATTATTAGAGGTAACTTACTAAATTTAAAACACACTTTGGACTGCATTCTTCTCCCCCAATTTTTTTTTTTTTTTTTAGTTTGCAGAGTGATTTTATTGTGGTTTATTCCTATTCAGAAGTCCTGCATTTCCTTTCATCTTTGAAAAATGTTCGAACTCTCTTTTGTTATTGTAGTATAGTTACCTAGTTCTAGAGAAAATTCTTAGGATTTATGCAGTCTTTTCTTTAGCTGAATGTGGGAGATTCCAGGAGACACCAAAGTTTGTTGCTCAGAGGTTTGGGAGCATCTCAATTGAGATGGAGAATTTTAAGTGGCTAGTGCATATTAATGGCATATGACATAAAAAGTGGGGCACTTTATAACAAACACTTTCTCAAAAGGGCAAAAGTGACACACTCATAATCAACTGCATCTTTTCCTCTGAAAAAAAAAAAACACTGTATTATTCTTATGGGGAAGTGAGGTTTTATGATAGTGGAAGAAGGCTGTCTAGGAAAGGACTAAAAATAAAGTTGGTATGTGGGGAGTCTTAAACCTAAGGAAGAAACATTCACAAACATTCCTCTATACAAAGCTACTTCTTTCACCTGGACCTGAGACATCATATTACTTTCTCCCAAGAAGCCATTGTGCATTACAAAATAATAAAATCAAATTATCCATATTAGTCACTCTCTTCACTTCATTCATATGACTTTGTTAAGTTCATCTTCTCAGAGAACATTTCCCTCACCATCTGATCTAAAACGTATGCCCTATTCCATTACTGTTTCTTCTTACTTTTCTTTATATTTACTTTACAACATCTATGATAGTACATTATATTGTCTTACATTTATTAATTATCATTTTTTCCCCTAGGATGTAAGCTCCATGAGAGTAAACGTGTTTTGTTTATTGCCTTTTTAAAATTTATTTTAGTGATGGAGTCTTGCTCTGTCACCCAGGCTGGAATGCAGAGGCATGATCATACCTCACTGCAGTTCAAATTTCTGGGCTCGAGCAGTTCTCCCATCTCAGCCTTTTTAGTAGCTGGGACTACAGGTGTGCACCACTATATCTGGCTCATTGCTGTATCTTGAAAACTTATAATAGTGTCATTCACTGTTGAATGAGTGAGCAAATGAATGAACTTCTGGGGCTCCTCAGGAAGGCCATGGCTATCAAAACAAGGATGAAAGTATCTCAGTACCAGCAGCAAATATACCTTTTATAGTGGTAGTATTAGTGTTGCTCTAGTTTTCAGAAAAAAATAAAATAAGACTTAAAGTTCATTATTCTTTGGTTCATGTGCATAGACATTACTAAAATGTGAAAATCAATATTTGGAAATGGACATTTTGTTTCTATGTGTATTAGATTTCTACTGATGTTGTAACAAATTACCACAAACTTAATGGCTTAAAACAACACACATTTATTTTCTTACAGTCCTGGGGATCAGATACCCTAATTGGGTCTCACAGGTGTGTTAGCCAGGGTTGTCCAGAAGGACAAAACCAGTAGGATATAGGTATATATAAAAGGGAGTTAATTAGGGAGAATTGGCTCACACGATTACAAGGGGAAATCTCACAATAGGCTGTCTGCCTGCTGGGGAAAGAAAAAAGCCAGTAGCATGGAATCGGTCTAAGTCCAAAAGCCTCAAAATCAGCAAGCTGACAGTGCAGCCCTCACTCTTTTTTTTTTTTTTTTCTTTTTTTTTTTTTTTTTATTATACTCTAAGTTTTAGGGTACATGTGCACATTGTGCAGGTTAGTTACATATGTATACATGTGCCATGCTGGTGTGCTGTACCCACTAACGTGTCATCTAGCATTAGGTATATCTCCCAATGCTATCCCTCCCCCCTCCCCCGACCCCACCACAGTCCCCAGAGTGTGATATTCCCCTTCCTGTGTCCAAGTGATCTCATTGTTCATTCCCCACCTATGAGTGAGAACATGCGGTGTTTGGTTTTTTGTTCTTGCGATAGTTTACTGAGAATGATGGTTTCCAATTTCATCCATGTCCCTACAAAGGACATGAACTCATCATTTTTTATGGCTGCATAGTATTCCATGGTGTATATGTGCCACATTTTCTTAATCCAGTCTATCATTGTTGGACATTTGGGTTGGTTCCAAGTCTTTGCTATTGTGAATAGTGCCGCAATAAACATACGTGTGCATGTGTCTTTATAGCAGCATGATTTATAGTCCTTTGAGTATATACCCAGTAATGGGATGGCTGGGTCAAATGGTATTTCTAGTTCTAGATCCCTGAGGAATCGCCACACTGACTTCCACAATGGTTGAACTAGTTTACAGTCCCACCAACAGTGAAAAAGTGTTCCTATTTCTCCACATCCTCTCCAGCACCTGTTGTTTCCTGACTTTTTAATGATTGCCATTCTAACTGGTGTGAGATGATATCTCATAGTGGTTTTGATTTGCATTTCTCTGATGGCCAGTGATGATGAGCATTTCTTCATGTGTTTTTTGGCTGTATAATTGTCTTCTTTTGAGAAGTGTCTGTTCATGTCCTTCGCCCACTTTTTGATGGGGTTGTTTGTTTTTTTCTTGTAAATTTGTTTGAGTTCATTGTAGATTCTGGATATTAGCCCTTTGTCAGATGAGTAGGTTGCGAAAATTTTCTCCCATGTTGTAGGTTGCCTGTTCACTCTGATGGTAGTTTCTTTTGCTGTGCAGAAGCTCTTGAGTTTAATTAGATCCCATTTGTCAATTTTGGCTTTTGTTGCCATTGCTTTTGGTGTTTTGGACATGAAGTCCTTGCCCACGCCTATGTCCTGAATGGTAATGCCTAGGTTTTCTTCTAGGGTTTTTATGGTTTTAGGTCTAACGTTTAAATCTTTAATCCATCTTGAATTGATTTTTGTATAAGGTGTAAGGAAGGGATCCAGTTTCAGCTTTCTACATATGGCTAGCCAGTTTTCCCAGCACCATTTATTAAATAGGGAATCCTTTCCCCGTTGCTTGTTTTTCTCAGGTTTGTCAAAGATCGGATAGTTGTAGATATGTGGCATTATTTCAGAGAGCTCTGTTCTGTTCCATTGATCTATATCTCTGTTTTGGTACCAGTACCATGCTGTTTTGGTTACTGTAGCCTTGTAGTATAGTTTGAAGTCAGGTAGTGTGATGCCTCCAGCTTTGTTCTTTTGGCTTAGGATTGACTTGGCAATGCGGGCTCTTTTTTGGTTCCATATGAACTTTAAAGTAGTTTTTTCCAATTCTGTGAAGAAAGTCATTGGTAGCTTGATGGGGATGGCATTGAATCTGTAAATTACCTTGGGCAGTATGGCCATTTTCACAATATTGATTCTTCCTACCCATGAGCATGGAATGTTCTTCCATTTGTTTGTGTCCTCTTTTATTTCATTGAGCAGTGGTTTGTAGTTCTCCTTGAAGAGGTCCTTCACATCCCTTGTAAGTTGGATTCCTAGGTATTTTATTCTCTTTGAAGCAATTGTGAATGGGAGTTCACTCATGATTTGGCTCTCTGTTTGTCTGTTGTTGGTGTATAAGAATGCTTGTGATTTTTGTACATTGATTTTGTATCCTGAGACTTTGCTGAAGTTGCTTATCAGCTTAAGGAGATTTTGGGCTGAGACGATGGGGTTTTCTAGATAAACAATCATGTCGTCTGCAAACAGGGACAATTTGACTTCCTCTTTTCCTAATTGAATACCCTTTATTTCCTTCTCCTGCCTGATTGCCCTGGCCAGAACTTCCAACACTATGTTGAATAGGAGCGGTGAGAGAGGGCATCCCTGTCTTGTGCCAGTTTTCAAAGGGAATGCTTCCAGTTTTTGCCCATTCAGAATGATATTGGCTGTGGGTTTGTCATAGATAGCTCTTATTATTTTGAAATACGTCCCATCAATACCTAATTTATTGAGAGTTTTTAGCATGAAGGGTTGTTGAATTTTGTCAAAGGCATTTTCTGCATCTATTGAGATAATCATGTGGTTTTTGTCTTTGGCTCTGTTTATATGCTGGATTACATTTATTGATTTGCGTATATTGAACCAGCCTTGCAACCCAGGGATGAAGCCCACTTGATCATGGTGGATAAGCTTTTTGATGTGCTGCTGGATTCGGTTTGCCAGTATTTTATTGAGGATTTTTGCATCAATGTTCATCAAGGATATTGGTCTAAAATTCTCTTTTTTGGTTGTGTCTCTGCCCGGCTTTGGTATCAGAATGATGCTGGCCTCATAAAATGAGTTAGGGAGGATTCCCTCTTTTTCTATTGATTGGAATAGTTTCAGAAGGAATGGTACCAGTTCCTCCTTGTACTTCTGGTAGAATTCGGCTGTGAATCCATCTGGTCCTGGACTCTTTTTGGTTGGTAAACTATTGATTATTGCCACAATTTCAGAGCCTGTTATTGGTCTATTCAGAGATTCAACTTCTTCCTGGTTTAGTCTTGGGAGAGTGTATGTGTCAAGGAATTTATCCATTTCTTCTAGATTTTCTAGTTTATTTGCGTAGAGGTGTTTGTAGTATTCTCTGATGGTAGTTTGTATTTCTGTGGGATCAGTGGTGATATCCCCTTTATCATTTTTTATTGTGTCTATTTGATTCTTCTCTCTTTTTTTCTTTATTAGTCTTGCTAGCGGTCTTTCAATTTTGTTGATCCTTTCAAAAAACCAGCTCCTGGATTCATTGATTTTTTGAAGGGTTTTTTGTGTCTCTATTTCCTTCAGTTCTGCTCTGATTTTAGTTATTTCTTGCCTTCTGCTAGCTTTTGAATGTGTTTTCTCTTGCTTTTCTAGTTCTTTTAATTGTGATGTTAGGGTGTCAATTTTGGATCTTTCCTGCTTTCTCTTGTAGGCATTTAGTGCTATAAATTTCCCTCTACACACTGCTTTGAATGCGTCCCAGAGATTCTGGTATGTGGTGTCTTTGTTCTCGTTGGTTTCAAAGAACATCTTTATTTCTGCCTTCATTTCGTTATGCACCCAGTAGTCATTCAGGAGCAGGTTGTTCAGTTTCCATGTAGTTGAGCGGCTTTGAGTGAGATTCTTAATCCTGAGTTCTAGTTTGATTGCACTGTGGTCTGAGAGATAGTTTGTTATAATTTCTGTTCTTTTATATTTGTTGAGGAGAGCTTTACTTCCAACTATGTGGTCAATTTTGGAATAGGTGTGGTGTGGTGCTGAAAAGAATGTATATTCTGTTGATTTGTGGTGGAGAGTTCTGTAGATGTCTATTAGGTCTGCTTGGTGCAGAGCTGAGTTCAATTCCTGGGTATCCTTGTTGACTTTCTGTCTCGTTGATCTGTCTAATGTTGACAGTGGGGTGTTAAAGTCTCCCATTATTAATGTGTGGGAGTCTAAGTCTCTTTGTAGGTCACTCAGGACTTGCTTTATGAATCTGGGTGCTCCTGTATTGGGTGCATAAATATTTAGGATAGTTAGCTCCTCTTGTTGAATTGATCCCTTTACCATTATGTAATGGCCTTCTTTGTCTCTTTTGATCTTTGTTGGTTTAAAGTCTGTTTTATCAGAGACTAGGATTGCAACCCCTGCCTTTTTTTGTTTTCCATTGGCTTGGTAGATCTTCCTCCATCCTTTTATTTTGAGCCTATGTGTGTCTCTGCACGTGAGATGGGTTTCCTGAATACAGCACACTGATGGGTCTTGACTCTTTATCCAACTTGCCAGTCTGTGTCTTTTAATTGCAGAATTTAGTCCATTTATATTTAAAGTTAATATTGTTATGTGTGAATTTGATCCTGTCATTATGATGTTAGCTGGTGATTTTGCTCATTAGTTGATGCAGTTTCTTCCTAGTCTCGATGGTCTTTACATTTTGGCATGATTTTGCAGCGGCTGGTACCGGTTGTTCCTTTCCATGTTTAGCGCTTCCTTCAGGAGCTCTTTTAGGGCAGGCCTGGTGGTGACAAAATCTCTCAGCATTTGCTTGTCTATAAAGTATTTTATTTCTCCTTCACTTATGAAGCTTAGTTTGGCTGGATATGAAATTCTGGGTTGAAAATTCTTTTCTTTAAGAATGTTGAATATTGGCCCCCACTCTCTTCTGGCTTGTAGGGTTTCTGCCGAGAGATCCGCTGTTAGTCTGATGGGCTTTCCTTTGAGGGTAACCCGACCTTTCTCTCTGGCTGCCCTTAACATTTTTTCCTTCATTTCAACTTTGGTGAATCTGACAATTATGTGTCTTGGAGTTGCTCTTCTCGAGGAGTATCTTTGTGGCGTTCTCTGTATTTCCTGAATCTGAACATTGGCCTGCCTTGCTAGATTGGGGAAGTTCTCCTGGATAATATCCTGCAGAGTGTTTTCCAACTTGGTTCCATTCTCCACATCACTTTCAGGTACACCAATCAGACGTAGATTTGGTCTTTTCACATAGTCCCATATTTCTTGGAGGCTTTGCTCATTTCTTTTTATTCTTTTGTCTCTAAACTTCCCTTCTCGCTTCATTTCATTCATTTCATCTTCCATTGCTGATACCCTTTCTTCCAGTTGATCGCATCGGCTCCTGAGGCTTCTGCATTCTTCACGTAGTTCTCGAGCCTTGGTTTTCAGCTCCATCAGCTCCTTTAAGCACTTCTCTGTATTGGTTATTCTAGTTATACATTCTTCTAAATTTTTTTCAAAGTTTTCAACTTCTTTGCCTTTGGTTTGAATGTCCTCCCGTAGCTCAGAGTAATTTGATCGTCTGAAGCCTTCTTCTCTCAGCTCGTCAAAATCATTCTCCATCCAGCTTTGTTCTGTTGCTGGTGAGGAACTGCGTTCCTTTGGAGGAGGAGAGGCGCTCTGCGTTTTAGAGTTTCCAGTTTTTCTGTTCTGTTTTTTCCCCATCTTTGTGGTTTTATCTACTTTTGGTCTTTGATGATGGTGATGTAGAGATGGGTTTTCGGTGTAGATGTCCTTTCTGGTTGTTAGTTTTCCTTCTAACAGACAGGACCCTCAGCTGCAGGTCTGTTGGAATACCCTGCTGTGTGAGGTGTCAGTGTGCCCCTGCTGGGGGGTGCCTCCCAGTTAGGCTGCTCGGGGGTCAGGTGTCAGGGACCCACTTGAGGAGGCAGTCTGACCGTTCTCAGATCTCCAGCTGCGTGCTGGGAGAACCACTGCTCTCTTCAAAGCTGTCAGACAGGGACATTTAAGTCTGCAGAGGTTACTGCTGTCTTTTTGTTTGTCTGTGCCCTGCCCCCAGAGGTGGAGCCTACAGAGGCAGGCAGGCCTCCTTGAGCTGTGGTGGGCTCCACCCAGTTCGAGCTTCCCGGCTGCTTTGTTTACCTAAGCAAGCCTGGGCAATGGCGGGCGCCCCTCCCCCAGCCTCGTTGCCGCCTTGCAGTTTGATCTCAGACTGCTGTGCTAGCAATCAGTGAGATTCCGTGGGCGTAGGACCCTCTGAGCCAGGTGTGGGATATAGTCTCGTGGTGCGCCGTTTCTTAAGCCAGTCTGAAAAGTGCAATATTCGGGTGGGAGTGACCTGATTTTCCAGGTGCGTCCGTCACCCCTTTCTTTGACTCGGAAAGGGAACTCCCTGACCCCTTGCGCTTCCCAGGTGAGGCAATGCCTCGCCCTGCTTCGGCTCGCGCACGGTGCGCACACACACTGGCCTGCGCCCACTGTCTGGCACTCCCTAGTGAGATGAACCCGGTACCTCAGATGGAAATGCAGAAATCACCCGTCTTCTGCGTCGCTCACGCTGGGAGCTGTAGACCGGAGCTGTTCCTATTCGGCCATCTTGGCTCCTCCCTCAGCCCTCACTCTTAAGCTGAAGGCCCAAGACCCCCTGGGAAGCTGCTGATGTAAGTCCCAAAGTCCAAAGGCCTAAGAACCTGGAGTCTGATGTCCAAGGGCAGGAGGAGAGGAATCAAGTATCCAGCATGGGAAGAGAGAGAGAAAGCCACAAGACTCAGCAAGCAAAATTATCATGCCTTCTTCCACCTGCTTTGTTCTTGCCATTCTGGCAGCCGATTGAATGGTGTCCACCCACACTGGGTTGAATCTTGATCCTCCAGTCCACTGACTCAAATGTCAATCTCCTCTGGCAACACCCTCACAGACACACCCAGGAACAGTGCTTCACCAGCCATCTGGGCATCCTCAAGCCAGTCAAGTTGACTTGTAATATTAACCATTGTTGGGATGATCAGACCCAACACCAGGTCGTGGGGGCGACAAAGTCCAGTGGAGTCAAAGGAATGAGAAAAAGACAGTTTGAGAGAAGAAGTGGGACCAGGGGGGCCATCGTGAGTGTGGAGGCTGTGAAGGCCCAGAGCTCTGGGAGCCCACGCTATTTATTGGTGCTCAAACAAACAAACAAACAGGTGGTGAGGATGTAGGGGTTGAAAGGAAACAGTGTATCAAGTGAATGAGAAACATATGGCTGCTTGAGATAACGGAAGTGCTAGAAGCAAAGAGCCAGCAAGTCTAGCAGACATGCAAGCCCTGCCTCAGCTTCTCTCCCAACACTCAGCTTTTCTCCCAACAACCATCACACTGGGCTAATATCAAAATATCAGCAGGGCTGATTTTTTTTTCTGGGGGTTCTAGAGGAAATTTCAGTTTCTTTATTTTTCCAATTTCTAGAGGCTGTTCACATTCTTTGGTTTTTGTCCCTTTCTTGTCCCTTCAAAGCCAGTCATCACCAGTCAAGTCTTTCTCACACTACCTTACTCTGACATTGACTAATTAACCTTCCTCTTCCATTTTTAAGAGTCCTTGTGATTACATTAGATTCACCTGAATAGTCCAGGATAATAGGTCAAATTATTAATATGGTCAAATGATTAATAACCTTAGTTTTACCTATACCTTGAATTCCATTTGCTATATGACATTACATATTCACAGGTGCTGTGGATTATAACACGTACATTTGAGGGACCATTATTCTGCCTATTGCACTATGTCACCACCAGTCATCTTTTATACATGTTTATTTTCTTATAGGCCAATTCAAATGCCTTTCTGGAAGTAGATAGAGTACAATTGTAAATGCATTTATTAAATGTAGCCATTGTTCATCAAATTTCCATTGATTTATTCAATATCTACTGAGCATATGCTATATGTTAGATATAACAAACATGGCATGCTCCCTGCTCTTAAGAAAATCGTATTTATCCACAGTGGATGAATTTTAAGAGGCAGATGCCCCTAAGTCTTTGTTTTTTTGTTTCTTTGCTTCTTAACTCAGTTGCTCTGTGTAGTTAATAATATGTAAGCAGATATGTAAATGTATTTAGGGAAAACCATAATTAAAAGAGCCCTGCAGTGAATGTTTATGCATAGCAAATCATTCTTTCATAATGAAAACAACCACTTTCTGATGTATCCATCTTGTAACGTTATATTTCACATACCTAAAACTCCCCACTTTAAAAATGCCTGTCCAATCTTACCCTTCATCCCAGTCAAATCAGCCACAAATTGCCAGGGCCAGTAGCATAACTTACCTATTTTCATAGAAAGCAGCCAAAATTGTTTTTGTGTTTTTTTCTTTCTTCCTGCTCTACTTTTCCTTTTTTTACTCTGTCTCTTCATTGATATTTCTGTTAGTTTTACCTTAGGCAATTTCTTTCATGGCATCTTCTTTAATCTAATTTTTCATTTTTTGCCAATTTTTACTCCCCTTTATTACATAAAAAATCTCTTGCTTGCAACCCACATTTCGTTCTATTTTGAAATCAAATATAATAACCACATACCCTAGTAATAATTTATAGGCTTATACACAAATGTTTATTATAGGAGCTTATCACATATTCTTATGGATTGTGTGAGAGTGAAACCTATCAAAAAGTAACCAATATGATCAACCACCAAAGTGCCTGAAAGTGTCCAGAACTTCTCAGTGGAATCACTGCAAAAGAGTTTTACTTCCTTCTCATCTTTGTTAAACCTAGAGGTTAATGCCTTTACACTTAAGGCCATAGGTCACAGCACACTAAGACCATAATGATGAAGGGTATATAGCAACCCTGATGTAAACAGATTCTCCATAATAAAAAATAACCACACAAAATTGTGGCAAGACTTATCTCCATGGCACCTCAGCTGAGGTTTCCTTTTAGCCAGAGAAAAAGGGGCTCGTACACTTTGAGACTTATTGTCTGTTTAAGCTTGGACAACCTATAATTTCTCTAGGCCCCAATTTCAACCTCTTCCAAGTGAAGATAACCTTATCCTTTGCTCACAATATTAGCTCCTTTTACTTTTCTCTTTACAAATCATAATTGTTAGATAAACTAGAATCTGCTATGAATAAAGAGTAGCACACTCAGACCATCAAATTGCACTTATTTGAGCCAAAAGACTGAGATGCAATAGATCTTCATACTCACAATTTACCAACTTGAAGCAGAATCAGCAAAGAAATTCTCAACTTATTATCATCATCATCATCACTATCACACACCACAACCCCCACACTTTTAACCATAATATTAGACTATTTGTTTGAGATTCCATGAGAGGAAGGCAGGTGGTCTCAAAGAGCAGACGGATGTCCTTTACTAATAGCCAGCAAGAAAACAGGGACCTCAGACCTACAACCACAAGGAACAAATTCAGCCAACAATCTGAATGAGATTGGAAACAGATTCTTCCCAGCCTCCAGATGAGACCTCACTCCCAACCAGCATCTTGATTTCAGTCTTGTGAGACCCTGAGCAGAGAATCCAGATAAGCCTGCCAGGACTTCTGAACTACAAAACTC